>NC_000008.11:4896561-5198846 GCF_000001405.40 Homo sapiens
TTACACATACTGATTTAATATTTAACCATGTTCATAAATTATCCATTCTGAGTCCCAGTGGAAAAACAGAAACCACTGCAAGTATTTAAATATTGGAAATTTTTTCCGGGGGAAGGATTGCATACGTGCTGGAAGATCCAAGACTTCAAGCTTGTGATGATGGTGAGGAGTCCTCCGATTCTAAGCAAGATTGAAGGAATAAGGGAAGGAGGTAGTTTCAGGGCTCCAGCGGGGTAGGGCGGGGGGAAGTGCAGGGCTATCCAGTGAGAGCCGGAGCCACGGAGGGTTGCAGCAGCTGCCGGGAACACTGTCCAAGGCAGGAAAAAGTAACAGTATCTTGGGCTCCTTTATTCTTCCTACCCGCCTGTCTCCCTGGGCAAACCCAAGGAAGGGCTCTCCATTTACATTTCTTTCATTTTTGTGATGTGTCTCGTTTTTTACACTGACTTCTCTTTTCCCATGACAGTTTTATCAATGTTTTAAAACTCAGGAGTAAAATCATGACCGGCCTTTCCTGAGTGCCTACAATTTCAGGCTTGACTTTGGGTATTTTATTTAAATGAATTTATGAGCAAGGCAGGTGCACGTTATTATCTCCCGAGTGCAGAAGAGGAAGCTGTGCAATGTCAGGGGAGGTAGAATAAAACTCACAACACGTCTGTTTTGTTTCTACTGTGTCAAAATCCTTTCATCGTATCAACCAAAAATTTAAGTGTTCATTTAGGTAAGAAAAAAACGGAAAAAATAAAATAGAGTTTTACCAAGTATGCCAATATATATTGTTTCTATAGGCCATGGGCGAGTGGGGTACCAATTCAATCCATTCAACAGGAAAAAAGTTACAACAAATATGACTTACCAAGAAAACAAGTGACTCTTTTCCACTTGCTGATGGGAATATCTTTAAGGAGTGGTTTGGGTTGCTGTAGACCCTGGCTATAACCTCTCATATCCTATTCGGTGACAAAATTAAACTATGTGCTAGTGTTTAATAGATTGCAATTTGTTACTCCGTTTTATAAATTCTTAGTGACCAATACAATTCAAAACTCATTATTTGTCATTACGTTAATGTCCAATAATATGATATTATTTATACAGTATCTTAAGCCAGCACAACTTTTTTTTACATATTACTTAAATACATTCTATCTGCGTATTGAAGAATAAATTCTACTCATCAACTGTTACTGCATTATGTTATTTTAAGAATTCAAGTTATATGCCAGTAGATGATACAGAAGAGACAGAGACTTAAATAAGTTTTTGTATAATGCTAAGAAGAGAAAGGCAATCTAGATTTTGTAGTCTCTACATTACATCGTAAACCAGAGCAAGGCGTGGCTTTGTTAAGTGGGGACATTAGATTCTAAACATAAGTCTAATTTTTATAATATGCTTAGTTTTAAATTATCCCGGGCTACTTTCTTTTAGCTCTGTACTGGAAAAACAGACTTCAGTTTATAAAACAAGAAAATTAAAGAAAATTTGGTTTTATTAGTTGGAAATATTTAGAAATGGATTATTGGTTAAATGAAGCAAACGAATAAGTAAATAAATATTGCCCATATATATGTGTATATCCTCTGCCTTCTGATATTTGAGGGAGGAATGCCCAGCGTGCATTGCTATATTGCAAATGGAATGATTAAAACGCACACATGAACGGAGAGCATCGGGGTGCTTAGATGACTTGCCCGTTTTAGGCCAAAAATAAAATGTTCATTTTGTATTTTTCCAAGACACCTGTCATCTTTGACAGGGTCCATTAGATTTATAATTATTTGTTGCAATTTCTGTGTCACACCTGCCATTTTTTTGCAGTCAAGTACTAGCAATTCAGGCCACACAGTGACTGGGTGATGGTCACAGAAGGACCGCATGGGTGTAGAAAGTGTAAGTGAGAGCCGACCAAAATCCAAATGCTTGCCTGCTCACTCCCATTACAGAAGGACAATAAAACAGGTCTTTATGCCTCTGTTCTTTTAAATCCAAGGGTGAGCATGGCTCACAAATCATATCCTAGTTCTTTGAATGGCTAATAACGACAGTGTCTGGAATGAAATTTTTTTTATGAAAAATTTTTATGAAAATTGTCAAATTATACAGACAGGAAAGACTGAGAAAAACGAAATGGAATAGATTTTATTATATAGTCCTTGAAAACCTCTCTGACTTTCATGTAAATTTAGTTCATCGTTGGAAGCGGGGGGAAGTGAAATGAAAACTGCATAATAAATATTTATATTTTCTATTAATCAAAAGTTGTGGCAGGACAGAAATGACAGTGTGGTTTATTTGTCTAAGTTTTAACATAACAGCTAGATACATTATTTATCGTTTAATAAGATTAGATTTAGAGATAATGAATTTTATTCTGAGATTACAGTTATAAAATTATTTTTAATATTACGGTAATGATATCTACTTAAAAATAGAAAAGTGAGAGTTTTATGCTAAACACAATCGACTCCTTTGGGGACAGCTTGATCATTTAAAATGTAGCCCTATCCTGTGATTTAAGTGTGATCTGTTACATAAATCTGAAATGGTAATTTGGTTATACACGTATCAATAGGCAAATTGAGCTAAAACCTTTCTCTCAACTGCATTTATATGTGTGGGTATATGTCCTATCGGAAGAAACATCATTTGAAGCAAATACTTCAGAGAAGTTTTGGTTGAAATTGTAAGGTATTGCCATCCATGCATTATAAGCAAAACATAACATTATTGATAACATAAATTCTTACCTTTAAAATTGAAGTGGCATACACTAACAAAAAGTGAGCCACTCAAAATAAAGATGAAATATACTGAGGAATTATTTGGAAGGATATAAACATACTTCTCCCAGGAAGTATTTTAGGTAATTGAGAATTAAATGTAGATACGCATGTCCATAGTCAATTAAAGAGAAGAAATCCCAATATGTTAGATCTCATTGTCTCACAAAATAAGAAGCAAATGAGCGTATCTATATCACTCTTTCTTGTCATGGTGATCTGGACACTGAAAGTCAATATTTTTTCTTCTAGAAGTTACCTGTGGTTACATAACATATAGGGTTTTGTCTGTAGTTTTGCAAAAATATAAGATGACCATGTCTTGAACAACTCTCATTAAAATGTGTATAGTTAAAAATTTCTAATCATATCTCACTGGACCTTTTTCTTGTGGGAAAAGAAAAAGCTAGAATGCACTATAACTTCATCTTCCAAGAGGATACAAGCACAGAATATAGAGGGCCTCACACAGTGTAACAAATAAGCAGGTCTTGCAGATAGCTTTTTCTCTGGTGTCAGACATACCTGGGGACAAGCCTTTCAGCTGCTCTGTCCCTAGAGTTTACCCATCACCAGAGTCTTGTTCACAGTAGGCCTTTAAGAAATAGTTGTTAAATAAATGGGTCTTATTTTTAGTCTAAGTAGGATGTCTGTTGCTTTAATCTATTCTCTTCTCTCTTCCTCAAAATACGACGTTTTTGCATTTCCTCCTCCATCTCTGGTAGTTCCTTCTGCTTCCACTGCAGACTCACCTTCCACCTTCCCATGCCTGGCTTTTGTGTCTTCTTCACACTCTAGTTTTCTTAAAGACATACCTCACCACATTCAAGTCCCAAAGTGACAGGGGTATGAAGACACGGGTTGGGTGCCTCTATCTCCAACCTCCCTTCGAGCTTCACCTGCCAGTGTCACCTTCTTTCGCACTTTGAATCAGTATATGCAACTCATCCACCTCCTATGTCCTTAGGCTCCATGAATAGCTACACCATTTGTCAACTTTCATGGCAGAAATGTTGGAGCAACCCTTGACGAACCTCCTTCCGCACGCCTCTGCACCATATCTATCACCAATTTCTGGAGATGCAGCCTCCTAAATAACATTCAGTTTATCCAGTCCTCCTACCCTTCCCCTTCACCCTGGCCCAGGCTGTCATCACTTCTGGTCTGCCAGTCTCTGATTTCTACACAATCCAGATGCTGATGTGCATGCTTCTCCCAGTGCCACCTTTCTGGCCTCTTCTGATTTCCAGCATCTCTGGTTCCAGATTCGTGCCCCTAGGCTGTTCATCCAGCTCCTGTACTCGCCCTACTCTCTGCTGTCCAAGGAGATTTGCAAATGTTGCTGGGGGCTTAGAAAATCTGCTTCTCTCTTCCACTCACGGAGTTAACTTATCCTTTCATTTTCAGCTCAGAATCACATTCTCTCAACAGAATTCACTGACTTTTCTATCTAGGCCAAACTATGACACATGAATTCTCACGGCTCTAATTTCTGTCCTTATGTAATGCACACTTCCTTCAGTCGAGCACAGTCACCGTAAGGGCAGGTGCACCACTAGTTACTTCTCTCCCTTGCATCCTAAGTGCCCAGCACAGTGCGGCCACATGGCAAGTCTTAATAAATATATTTGAATGAATTAATGATTCACCATACTATTTGAAAGTAAAGAATGCCGATGTTCAACAAATTAAACTATTGTCAAAAGGAGATTACACAGAGTTGAAGCAATTCAACTTATTATTTTGGGCAACAGTATACCCTCGTCAGTATTACACAGCAATTGCATGTTCAAAGTGTCATCTGGGCTAAGAAAGATTTTCTTAAACCAAAAGTTAGTATAGATCAACCTCTTTTATTTTGTAGAAACAACTATATTTCAGACGCTTCCTCAAAAGTTGTCTTTTTAACCTCTAGAAAACAAAACTACATTGTTAAGTTTGTGATAATTTTTTATTCCGCTTGTGTCATCTGAACACAAAATTTCAGGTATAATGGTATTAGAAGTGTAGTTATCTATAGAAGACTATTGCAGTTAGGATTTCTACACTTGAAAGCAGCTCATTGCTTCTTCCATTATTCAAGTTTTCATAGAATTTAATACATAGTTGAGAATTATTTCAAAACAAAGCTACATCAATTATGTTTTTCCATCTTTGTGAGCTTAAAATTACCTCTGTAAGAATTCATATGATCTCCCCACCAAAAAAGTGAAAGAAAATGTCAGATGTTTCTTTACGTTTCCGGACACTTCTATTAGCCTTTGTCCCCATACTTCATTTTTAATTTAAAACTAGAAAGTTTGCAAGGCTCTTTGTAGCTTTAAAAAATCCAACTGGCAGTATGCATACTAGCATATTAGCATAGAGCATAGAGGATGCTGAATCATATTAGCATAGAGGACGGTAAGTAAATGATAGGGAGAGGTGCCTTCCTTGGAGGGAGGCACAATTGTGATTACATATTCTCAAAGAAATAAGATAAATCTGAGTGAGTAGCATCATGATGATGACATATATATACACTTCCCACCAGCCAAAAGGACACTTCCATTTACCCTAAATACGTTAAAAAGATTGTCAGTCAGATATTGATCTTCACAACCAGAGGTCAAATACCAAAGACATAATGTCAACCTCAAACATCATTTAAGAGGCTGTAAGGAAATGCAGCTATGATGCAAACATACTGTGGCTTTGGCTATATGGACTTACATTAAAGAATATATATGTGTATATTTGTTGATTTTCATCTTTTCTTCCAAATAACTATATATCAATGAAGTTTGTTAAAAAGAAAAATGCCTGTCAACCCAGCTTTTTGGGAGAACAAGATGGAAGGATCACTTGAAGCCAAGAGTTTGAAACTCACCTGGGCAACTTAGCAAGACTCCATCCATTAAAAAGACAAAACATCTCGCTCTATCTATTAAAAAAAAAAAAAAATCCTGGCATGATGGCACACGCCTCTAGTCCCAGCCACTCAGGAGACTGAGGCAGAAGGATTGATTGAGCCCAGGAGTTGAAGACTGCAGTGACCCATGATTGTGCCACTTAGCAACAGAACAAGAACCCATCTCTAAAGAGGAGAAAAAAAAAAAAGAAAGGAAACTACTCTATAATCTTTTCAGGAATAAATGAAAAATATAATGTAGTTTGCAAAGCAAATGTCAACTTTACATCAAATTTTACATGAAACATTCAAGACATTTTCTTCTTAGAATTAGAAAATATTATGCTGTGGCTAATAACATCCTTTGACCATTGTAATATTTTGATTATCTATTTAACTCTTTATAACTTTTATGGCATATACTTTAATCATTTACTTTTGAATAGGTGATATACGCACATGATACAAAATTCTACATATATCAAAATATATAAATGGAAAATGTGTCTCCCTCTGGCCTCTGTAGCTTATCTGCCCAGGCAGTAAACACAGTTACCAGGTTCATGTGTATCCTTTTCACAAAATATACATACATACACATATTTTTATTTTTATCATTTATGTTTTTTCTATACATACATATGTACTGCATGTATATTTTTACACAAGCAATATGCAACCTAAACTTATTTAGCACATTTCATTTTATATATAATAATAAACTTTGAATACTAAACTAAATAATAATAAATAAATGATAAATAATATTAATAATAAATAAATAAATAAATAAATAAATAATAAACTAAATAATAAACTTTGAATACTGTCATGTATTAGATATACGCAGCCATACACTGTTCCACTGATATGAACTTACCTTTGCTCTATCTTTGTACTCTTATTTAATCTTGAACAGTTTGTAATGCAATCTTCCCACAGGAACATTTGTTATTTAGTTTTAAAACAGTGCTTCTCTCTGACCAACCCTGCACTTACAGCCAGACTTAGTGTGTCATCTTCATTCCCTGGAGTGAATTACAGCTGACCTTTCTGATTTCCATTTAGCAATTGCTTTATGGATAAAATTACCATCTTTGATAAGTAGCTCTTAAATATACCCCTGTGGTTTTAATTCAGGAAGCTTCATGTCTTTAAAACGAAGTCCAAGCAGTTGAGTGACTTTTTTTACCCTTGAGAATGATACCGTGCTAAGGCATACACCAATTGTACAAATGTATATCGTTAATGTTTTATGAGCTATGTTGTTTAAAACTGCAAAAAATACTGAAACAGGAGATATATTTAGCAGCATGTGGTCTCTCTGGTGGCAATTTAAAATACCTGTAAATGTCAACTTGTTACATGATAAAACATTATGAAGTAAACTTGGATTAGAAACTCCTTTCTTTGAAGCAAGTTATTCAGGACTAAATGTTTATACCAAAGGTTGTAATAAGGTCCCACAACTCTAAAGAGCAACACAGATGAAGCAGTCAGAGCTCCACAATGGAAAGGTGAGAGGAGAAGGACCTGGAGTCTTCTTAGCAGCAGGACCTACTGTTAGCCTGGCTCTTCAAACTCAAATGGCCAAGAAGTACTTCCCATCCCTTGATTTAACCACATCAGCTGCATGGATGCCTTCAACGCCGATAATGCATTTATTGACATTGAAGACTATATTTCCTTGAGCCTATTACGGAATTTGCTATTATAATTTAAATAAATCTTCTCATAAAGTGTAAAATCATATGGCTTCATTTTGTATTTATTTCTTTTATTTTAATACTTTTTTTGGAGGACTGGCATTAGTGTAAGATTTGAGAAAGGACTTACCATGGAAAAGAACCAGGATAGGATAGGCTCGAATTCCAATGTATGTTAGAATCATTTCTGGAGTCAGAGGAAGTCAGGGCAGGTGTTCTACCTTCTTCAAATCTCTGAACTCTGGTCATAACATGATGACCAACCATCACCTAAAATTAGGCATCATAGAAAGCTCCAATTCCTCATTATTCCTTAACTGTGGATTTTAGGAACAATGAAAGTACAGTAAATGTATTTCCCATTAAAAAATCAATAATTTATTACATCTATGAGTATTTATGCCTACAGCATGCAAGAAGGTTGGGTTTTAAATTTCTCTTTCACAGTAGTCAGGCAAAGAACAAACAACTTATATCTCACAAATAAAACTAGCTATTTGAAGAGGTAAGAGACATGTTCAAAGTCAAACAGCTGGTAGGGCTCAATCGTCCTGACTCAGAGCCTACTACCCTTTCCAGGTCCTACACTGCCCTCTCTGTGGACACATGGAGCCACAGAATATCATTAAACACATATAGTGAATATCATTAAGCACATATATGAGTGAGCCAGGGAGCGCCCAACCATCCAAGTCAACCAGAAGTTCAAGAGTGTTGTGAGCCTGTCCTTGTTAAGTACTGGGGAAAACTAAAATGGAAGAAAGTAACACAGGTAAATGTGATCTTAAAGCAAAATTAAAAAAACAAAAACACCTTTAATATGTAAAAACTTCAGCAGTTATTTTGGACAGTTATAATAACATGAAACAGAAAGTCTGGCATGAAGATCCCTATCAGCAATGATCTGTAAATTACTACCTTTCGGGACTGTATTCATTTATTTTCCAATGAAAAAGAGCCTGCAAGCACTTCTGTAGAATACTGTCCAGGGCCTCTTTGGGACAAGGGACCATGCCGCCGCTTCAACCAACATAGTACAATTTGCAAAGGTATTACTCACTCTAAGGTAGTGTGACAGTAGAAATTAAAAATAGCTGGGACCTTCTGAAGCTCTCAAACATTTCTCTGCCAGCATAGGATCGTTCCCTGTGGTGTATTTTTAGTGCTCTATATACTCAACTTTTAAATGTCATAAGGAATGAAATCCTGGGAGTACTATTCGAACACATCTCTGAAAAAAAAAGTTATATTTGATATCTCATCTGTGATTTTCATACAGGCATTATCTCTCCTCCAAGTAACACATTAACCAGCTATTTTCAGTCATTTGCTGAAGTTTAGGGTGCCCAGAGTCTAATGGATAACTCGCTGTGTCAAGTAATATCATAAAGGCTACCATTTCTTCTCATTAGACTCTTAGATAGATTTATAAAATATATATATTTACACAGTGTATATTTATAGATTTATAAAATACATATACATGTACACATAGTAAAAGACTCTCACTTTCTGCTTTAGGCATTCTAAAACAGGACACACATTATTTCCATCTATTCCCTATCATCACTAACTCTCTAAAGAAAAAGAAATCGGTCAGACACAGTGGCTCACATCTGTAATCCCAGCACTTTGGGAGGCCAAGGTGGGCCCATCACGAGGTCATGAGATCGAGGCCATCCTGGCTAACACGGTGAAACCCCGTCTCTACTAAAACTACAAAAAAATTAGCCGGGCGTGGTGGCGGGCGCCTGTAGTCCCAGCTCCTCGGGAGGCTGAGGCAGGAGAATGGCGTGAAACCGGGAGGCGGAGCTTGCAGTGAGCCGAGATTGTGCCACTGCACTCCAGCCTGGGCCACAGAGCGAGACTCCATCTCAAAAAAAAAAAAAAAGAAAAAAAGAAAAAGTAAAAAAGAAATCTTACTATCCTTAAAATTATTATTCTCACATCTAATTGCCTTTCTCAGAGCCACTCTTTCCTTTCACCAGTCCCAGTTTCCCAAACCCCCATTCATTCTTCCTGCCTTCAAATACTTTCGGCAACACCACTTTTGGCAGGAAGTCTGATCCGATAAATTAAAATAGAAAGCATATTAAAAAATATACTGTAAGAAACTTTCAGACCCTCTCACCTCTGGAGCTGACCAATAATCAAATTATCCTTGTATGATATATGGTAGGTTTCTAGATGCTACCTGCACTCTTCGCTTCAAAGGAAGTTTCCTGTGAGAACCCTTGAGTCTAGAAAATCACCCTTTCACTAGCAGAAGAAACTATTTGCTGTCTAAATTCTGAAGATGACACTTCCTGAACTCTTTTCCAAGTAAATATTAACAAAACAAATACATTATTCAGTTAACACTCTTTATATGCTTTATTAAGTATTATTTTCCTTTAAAACACATTCTTGCATACAACTTATGTTATTGTGGGTAGAACACTGAGTTGTCAAAGGGATGAATAGAGGTGGTCTGGCCCCAGCAACTTAAAGGACCAAGGACTGTGTTCATTAAGTTTTTTGTAGCAAAGGAATACATCCTCTTACATGATTTCACACACTTTGTTTTTCAGTTTTTATTCTAAATATTTTAAATAAGTTTGTCTTTTCAAGGTAGCTATTACATTTTGAGTTGCTTTTTTTTCCCCCACTTTGTCGACCAGGTTGAAGTGCAGTGGCACAATCTCAGCTGTGCAACCTCCAACTCCGGGGTTCAAGCAATTCTCCTGCCTCAGTCTCCCGAGTAGCTGGGACTACAGGCGCATGCCACCATGTCCAGCTAATTTTTGTATTTTTTTTAGTAGAGACGGGGTTTCACCATGCTGGCCAGGTTGGTCTCCAACTCTTGACCTCGTGATCTGCCTGCCTCGGCCTCCCATAGTGCTGAGATTACAGGCGTGAGCCGCTGCCCCCGGCCTTGAGTTTCTTTTTTCAAAGTACCTTTAGTTTCACAATGTGAGTAAATGTGGAAACTGACTATATTAGTAGGTATTTTCCTATTAGTCTTTCCTAAATGACTTGCCTACTAAATATAGCACAATTGTACTTATTCAAGACTTAATTCATCTATATGTCTTAAAGTGCCATCATAATGTTTGCATTCAACATAACAGTGAGAGAATGTTCTATTTTCTGTTTGGTATGTAACAAGCCACAGTTAAGATAATTGCTGCTTTCTGTGTGTGCAAGAGTTAGGGAATAATGATGAAATATTCTTACTTAAATCACTTTCCCTGTCCTTCTATTTTTTCCACAACTTTTACTCTCTTTGAAATCTTCCTAGTGAAAAGCTACTTCTCTACTTTTAAGAATAAATTATTCTCCATTTTGTGATGTACCTTCTGCATTGATTTCTACTATAAAAGCCAAAAGAACTCTCTCGCTATTAACCTTCAGACAAAACGGCAAAAAGCTTGGGCTCCTAAATGAGAAGGTCCCTTGTTAAAATCCCTCAAGTATGAATTACTGCAAATAGGACATTGGGCAAAATACATAAATATCCTAAACCTCAGCATCTGTACCTTTAAAATAAATATAAAAATCCTAAACTCATAACATCTTACTAGAATTAAATGGAAAAAAAATTTAAATTATTTTTGGTTTGTGTTTCTTTTTGTTGTTGTTTTATTGGTTTTTTGAGACAGGTTTTCACTCTGTTACCCAAGCTGAAGTGCAGTGGCAAAAACATGGCTCACTGCAGCCTCAATTTTCCAGGCTCTAATGATCCTCCTAGTCAACTACTAGAGTAGCTGGGACCACAGGCACATGCCACTATCCCCGGCAATTTTTTTTTTTTTTCATTTTTTGTAGAGATGGGGTCTTGCTTTGTTTCCCAGGCTGCTCCGAAACCCCTGGGCTCAAGCAATCCTCTTTCCTCAGCCTCGCAAAGTGCTGGGATTACAGACAATAGCCATCTCACTTTGGCCATTGTTTATTAATTATATCCTGCAGCCATAACAAAAAATTGTGTTTCTTTTTGTGAGTTAAAATCATTTGATAGAAAATAAAAGTAAGGTTATGACTCAGATATAGGCATAGATATTCTAATACACCATCTGGGAATTATTACTTTTAAAATAATTACTTTTCTTCTGTGGAATGTACAATAGTTTTCCATTAATTTAAGGTGGTTTTCTTTCTCCATGGAAGTCGTCTATGTCCTTCACTTTTGCAGTATAATTTTGCTGGGTACAGAATTCTAGGTAGTTGTATTTTTCCTTTCAAAACTTTAAATATTTTGCTCCATTCTCTTCTTGTTTGCAGTTTCTGATAAGAAATTTGCTGCAGTGTTTATACTTGCTATTCTGTAGGGTAAAGTATTCCTTCCTGAATTCTTTCAAGGTTTCCTTTATCTCTGGTTTTGTGCAGTATGCATATGATATAGGTAGGTGTAGATAATTTGGGATTTATAATTCTTGATGTTCTCTGACCTTCTTGGTTCTGTAGTTTAGTGTCTATCATTAATTTTGGAAAGCTCCCAGTATATTCCTCAAATCTATCTTTCTCTGCTCTCCTTTTCTTCTTTTAGTATTCCAATGAATTTTACGGTGTACCTTTTGAAACCATTCCATAGTTCTTGGATGTTCTCTTCTGTTTTTTTTCTTTGTTTTGTGTTTCTTTTTTCTCTTTTCATTTCAATGTAGAGAGTTTTTATTCAACAGCAGTCAAGCTCCGAGTCTTTTCTAGGCTATATTCAGTCTAGCAATGAGTCCACCAGACTCTTTTCTAGGCTGTATTCAGTCTAGCAATGAGTCCATCAGAGGTATTCTTCATTTCTGTCACCATGTTATTTTCTAGTAATTCATTTTGATGCTTAGAGTTTTCATGTTTCTGCTTGCATAGCTTATCTGCTCTTACATGTTGTCTACTTTTCCCATTAGCACTCTAAGCATACTAATCATACTCACTTAAAATATCTGATAAATCATAATTGTTCTAAATTCCCTGACTGGCAATGTCAACATATCTCTCAAATCTCAGTCATTCCACTGCATTGCCTCTTCCGAACGTGTTTTCCTTGCCTTTAGCATGCCCCGTGCTTTTTCTCGTTTTCTTTTTGGTAAAAGGCTGACATGTATTGGTTAATAAAAAATGTGATAAGCAGGACTTTAGCATGAAGATTTGTGTTAATCGGACTAGGAGTTGGATTATGTTTAATGCTTGCTGTAGGTGTAGGTGTCAGAGGATTTGATTTTCTTCTCAGAGAGGACTGTCCCTGGCAGGGCCTTCTGCTGTAATCCACTCTTATAATGCAGGAGGCCTGTTGCTGTGGTAGTGAGGGATGGTAGAGTGTTTTATAACCTTCCTACTAGCTGTGAGTCTTTTAGTGATCCTGTGTTTCAGGGCTATGACTTTTCTGAGAATTTTCCCAGCAAAATACCTCCTTTTACCTCCTTGCCTTCTACTACTTTTCCAGTTATAGAAATCCCATTTTATTTCCTTGAAGCCATGACACCCACTAAGTATGAATTTTCCACTAGCAAGACAGGAAGGCTAAAGGGGTCTGTCTGACATGGAAGTAACACCCTTCCCTGATAACCTTCTAGCAGAGATTTTTCCCTAAAGAGAAAGCCTTCCTGATGTAGAAGGATCTAGGATACTTCACAATGTCCATTTTTCCTTGACCTGCCAGAGGTAAGAAGGGATATTCCTGGAATTTTCACCGTGAGCACTTCATGGGGTTCCTAGAAGTAAAGGCAATGAGTGTAGGGGCCTCCTAAGACTGCACACCCCCGGATTTTCTCCTTCTCACACCACTGCTTCCAGCAGCTCATGAAAGTGACCATTTAAGTGATCTCACCTGTATATAGCTCCTATAGTCTCTGATCCATGTACATTTGTTTTGGTTGTGACTCTGTGGACCCACCTGTCCTTCATTTCCAGGTGGCAATTTAACTGCAACCTCAGTTCTCTGATGGGTTCAGAGAAGTCATTGATTTGGGGTTTGCCCAGCTTTTTCTTCTTATGAGGATGGGAGTGAGCCCTTTACACGACTAGCTGAAACTGAAGTCTTGTGGATGATTTTACTATATTATTTATCTTTTCTAAACTTTATCAATGATTGAAATGTTTCAGCATATATGAATAACCAATAGCATGTCAGATTCTTAACTCCCACTTTCTGTAACTCACAAAACCAGACTTTACTTAGGACTGAATCTTAATTATTGTCTAAATTTTTATATCAGTTTTAATGTTATAATGTTGCAGAACATATATTTCAAATTGTGTTTCATTATACACATACACACACTTGTTATACTGGACTAAATTATTATTCATCTTGGGAAATGTGACTATTTACACTTCCATTGTATTATCTCATCACAGTGAACAGTCAACGCATATATCTTGATTTATACAACTTTATAAGCTTTTTCTGTCAATGTTGATGATGTATCTTAGTCAATTTTGGCTGCTATAAAAAATACTATAAACTGGATTGCTTATAAACAATAGAAATTTATTTTTCACATTCTGGAGGCTGAGAAGTCCAGGATCAAGTTATTAGCGGGTTTGTCCTCTGATGCAGGGTCTTGCCTGGTTTCTAGAAGGCACCTTCCCGCTGTGTTTTCCCATGGTAAAAACGACAAGGAATCTCTGAAGCTTTTTTATAGACGCTAATTCCATTCATGAAAGCTCCCTCCTCATAACCTAATCACTTCCCAAAGTCTGCTCCTCCAAATATTACCATTTTGGGGATTAGATTTTAACATATTAATTTTGAAGGGGGCACAAACATTCAGTCATAGAAATGTGTTTTAAGATATTCTTTGTAAGTGTTAAAAAATAATAAAGCACATAATTATATATTGTCTCACCCCAACAAGGACCTTATAAGGTGGGAAAATATAGTCATCCAATTGATAAATGTCATTAGATAGTCATCAAACTGATATGGTTTGGCTGTGTCCCCACCCAAATCTCATCTTGAATTCCCATGTGTTGTGAAAGGGACCCAGTGGGAGGTAATTGAATCATGGGGTCAGGTCTCTCCCATGCTGTTCTCACCTAGTGAATAAGCCTCAGGAGACCTGATGGTTCCATAAGGGGGAATTTCCCTACAAAAACTCTCTCTTTGCCTGCTGCCATCCATGTAAGATGTGACTTGCTCCTCCTTGCCTTCCACCACGATTGTGAGGCCTCCCCAGCCATGTGGAACTGTAAGTCCATTAAACCTCTTTCTTTTGTAAATTCTCCAGTCTTGGGTATGTCTTTATCAGCAGTGTGAAAATGGACTAATACCAATGCACATTAAAGATTTTGGCTTTTCCTCAAATTCTGTCTGCTCCATCAGTTTCAAATGACCTTTGTCCACCAGTCGTAATTTCTGCCTATACATACTGGATAAAGTGTTTCATCAGGTGCTGAGAGAATAACTTAACCAATATGCAGATGAAAGACAATTATTTTTGAAAATCACTGGGGAAAAGTCTGTTGGTCTTTCTCTAGATTTGTTAGGTAATTCCCTTGACCTCTGACACAGCATATTTTTCCAGGTCCCATGAATACACTTTTCCATAGGATGTGATTAAGGTGTGGGTCTATACCTCAATGTCATTAACATTCCTTAATAATTTTCCTTAATCCCAAGTCAGGGCCAAACTTTACTGCTAATACCTGCCCTCTACCTGCATCCAGGGATCTCAGAGCTCTCCTGACAGAAGCGTTTAACTTCCTGTGAGGAAATGTTCATATAATTTACACACTAAATAACTACTTCGAAGTCTGCATAAATAGACTGAAATAAGTTTTTATAACCACCCAGAAACTGAATCAACTCTAGCAAGGGACTGGTAAATCACGTTGGTTTCTTCTTGGGCTTCCAACATAGAAGCCGCCAGATCAATCACTTCTAGATTGGAGTTGCTCATTAAACTTCACGGTGTTTTCTCATTTCTCTCCAAATAAATTTGACAATTCCTCTCTGAGGCTTCTGAGAAGCTCATCAGAAAAATTACTAGACAGGTATTTTGTGGCAACATATTTTAGCTTGTACTATTTTAAGCCCCACCCAGAAAGTTCAGTTTAATAATTTCTCCACAAGAAGTACGTACTCTTTTGGTCTTTCTTCTGTAACCTTTATTAAAGGAAAAAAAGAAGAAAAAGAAAAAGAAAAAACCTAAATCCCAGTTCTTTCCAATTTCAGATCCTGTACTTTTCTAGTGCTCAACATAGCTTCAAAAAAAAAAAAAAAAAAAGAAAGAAAGAAAAGAAAAGAACGGAAAAGAAAAAGACAATGCATAAAATTAGAAAAGTCCTCTTACTGAGCTAGGTGGAGACCTGCTTCCAGAGCTACCACTGAAATTATTGGCAAGAACATGCGAAGGCAGTAGATTGTACTAAAATGACGTGGACAGAAACAGAATCTAATAAAAGAAGAGGGAAGAATTTCTTACATTAAGAAATCATTTTCTGCTTTTTTTTTTTTTTTTCTTTTCACAGGAAAACTTGCTGTGGGGTTGTCTAGATCAATGCCATTGCAGAAAGGCTGGACAAGGATTGAAGGTGAAAACGGGAGGAGAGCATTTCTAGAAAACTCTTTCCATACAAAGTGCCAGAGGCTTCATGCCAGATGCCCCATAAGCTCGTCTCAATCCCACCTTTAGTGACTTCACTGGGGTAGTCTGAAATGAACACTCTCAAAAGCCTGCCTTCCTATTTTAGCTCAAGTTTGTTTGGCTTCCTTTGTAAATACCTGTGACATGTAGGTCAGGAACCAAAGAGTTTAGCACTTTCATTTATTTCTGTTTTTGGTCTAAGGGAAACAGAATAACCACCAGTGACTTTCTATTAGTTTGAAATTTTGGAGGCCAAATGACATAAAATGACATACAGCACCAGCTATTTTTTTTGGAGGGGGGGCACAGAGTCTTGCTCTGTCTCCTAGACTAGAGTGCAGTGGTGCAACCTTGGCTTACTACAACCTCCACCTCCTGGGTTCAAGTAATTCTACTGCCTCAGCTTCCCAAGTAGCTGGGACTACAGGCACCCACCACCTCACCCAGCTAATTTGTTTTGTATTTTTAGTAGAGATGGGGTTTTACCGTGTTGGCCAGGATAGTCTCGAACTCCTGACCTCAAGTGATCCACCTGCCTCGGCCTCCCAAACTGCTGGGATTACAGGGGTGAGCCCCCACAAGTGGCCAGCACCAGCTGCTTTAAAAAAAATCGTGAGGGATCACAGATCAAAGCAGAGTCCACCACTCAGAACAGGCACAGGACAGTGGGTCTTGCAAAGATTAGGTTGGTGCAAACCTAGTAGCGTTGCTGTTAGGTACATCCCAAACTCCGTCACGCAACACAAGTTGTTTCTCTTCTTTCCTGCCACAGGTTTGTGGATTCTATTGCTATCCTCATTTGGTGTTATAATTACTTGCAATAATTGTTTACAGCCTCACCTCTGTCCCTTAAAATGTTTCTGGCGGGGGACCATTGCTTTTTCTTGATTGTTTTCCTAATTCCTAGTAAAGTGCTTGGACACTCAGTGAATATTTCTTCACTGAATGCTATTAATGGCCATTGTCCATCAGCATCAAATAGAGAATGAAAACTACCCCCATATGTCTTATTTTAAACAGAAGCCCTGCCCTCAAAGAGCTCTACAGGGGAACGCCACCAACATATGCGTCCACAGCTCATTTAATAATGCTCCCATCCATATGTTTTGCAGTAGGTGTTGCTGGACCAAGACTGAGTTCTGCGTCAACCAGATGTACTGTGCAGATTAGAATTCCATCTTCATGCTTTTCCTGACTACAATTAATCTTAGGAAGAACCATTGACAAATCTGCAAGCGAGGGAGTTGTCCATGTGTTACCAGAATTAGGGAGTCACTGCCAAATTGCACGCCAACCTTCCCACCAGACTCTTTGGGGCTTCATAACCAGAAGAGCTTCTCCAGCCAGCAGCTGTTAAGGGATATTATTGTTTGGATGGAACCCGATTACTGTGCATCCTTCTTAATTAATGCGATTACCAAAGGAATGTATACAAAATAGGGCTCTAATTAATTGTAGCCAATTAAGATTTTAAACTATAAATTCTGTGATTATTTCACATATAAGGTGTGATGCTGCAGTTTCTTAAAGACATTTCCTGAAGAAACAAATCTTAGTACGATACCTAAATTACTCAGAGAGGAAGATTTTACATTTATGGATGATTGATTTGTGTTGAGCTCCCTACACAGTTTCTTTCTGAAAAGTGCATATAAAGTTAAAGAAACAAAAGCACGGAGTCATGAGACTCTATAGTATTACAGGTGCAATCATTTCTGTTACAAAGCTATGGAATTATGCAAGTGAGTGTGCAGAGGAAATAGAAACATTTCACTTTAAAAATTGGAAGATAGGGCCGGGTGCGGTGGCTCACACCTGTAATCCCAACACTTTGGGAGACTGAGGCAGGCAGATCACGAGGTCAGGAGATCGAGACCATCCTGGCTAACACGGTGAAACTCCGTCTCCACTAAAAAATACAAAAAAATTAACCGGGTGAGGTGGCGGGCCCCTGTAGTCCCAGCTACTCGGGAGGCTGAGGCAGGAGAATGGCGTGAACCTGGGATGCGGAGTTTGCAGTGAGCTGAGATCGCGCCACTGCACTCCAGCCTGGGAGACAGCGAGACTCCATCTCCCAAAAAGAAAAAAAAAAAAAAAAAAAATAGAAGATAGAAATATAACGGTCGCCTTTAACTTCTGCAAGTTTTGTAGCAGATCCTCTGTTTGGACACTAATCCGTGAAAATGAACTCGGAAAAGGAAATTAGTAATAAACATGAGACGTTTTCACACTTAAGAGGCTAATGTGTTTTCTCAGTTTACGTCACTACCTGCATGAGTTCCCATGTAACCACAATGTAAGACAAAGCTGTGGCAGAGGCCTGTGGACATCAGGGAGTTTCACCTACTGCTATTTCACCTTCACCTCCTGAACTCACAAGAAAGACATGGGGTATTCCCAAGTCACAGAAAACAGGAACAGAACATTTATCCAAAGAAAATGATGATGATGATGAAACGCATTCCGTTTCATGTGAAATTACCAGGCAATAGCTACCGTATTTAATTCAATTCATATTAGATATGAGAAACTGCACGTGTGGAGGGAATAGAAATTGAATTAAATACACTCGGTTTCTCAGATGTAATATGGTCAGGCCGAGTCAAGTGTTACCAACTGTGGTTGCCGAACGAAGAAAATGGAATACGCATGCTTATGATTATATATATAAGAGAAATGCATATATACACATACATATACCTGTGTATTTATACATAACATATATATAAAATATGTATAACAAGAAAAATCTAACACAAATACTCCAATTCATAGGCATAACACCCCTCCCAAAAGCAGACTTTCCCGTGTGGATTTATTGCAATGGTAAAAAGCTAACTCTTGCTAAAGTAGATTACATATAGTCTGACAATCGTAGATTCTGATCCGTATTTTAGATAAGAAATTGTTTACACTGTGTTGTCGAGTATAGATTGGAAACCACATATCTGCGTACAATCTTCCTTTCCTCAGAACCAACATATATTTATTTTTCTTGGGTTTCCATACAAAAAGCAGGCCTGGCAGGAGCACGGCTCTGAGGTGTCATGGACCTGCGTCTGCAGTAGAGGGCAGGAGCAGGGACAGCTGGGGGACTGTTGCATCCGATTGAACTCTGGGCTAGCAGTTCCCAACCTTCACACCCAGACCTCGGACGAGGGAACGTTAGCGCCCGGCGGCAGTGGATTTCGGGAGAGGGTCACGCCCTAAACATTATGTCCGGGTTTGGAGACAGACATCCATTTGGATTTTCCTGGCGGGGATTCAAACTTTTAGCAGAGACACTTGATGCATAGAATACTTGGCATCTTGGCCACACGGAGACCCATCTGTCACAATGGCATCCTGCCTATTTCAAAGTTGCTTAGATCTTTTCAGCAAGCCATAAGTGCCAGGCAGGAGTGGCTCTTCATGGGGAGTGGGTATAAAACTGCAAGTGGCATCTCTTCCACAGGAACATCTTCTCTTCCGCTAGTTCCCATCCCTGGTCCAGCTTGCAAGAGCTACACCTGTTGCCCCTCGTTCATAGAATACACTAGATTTGCCCTGGAAAGGCAACGCCAGCACTTCAGATTACGTTCATATGCCAGAAAGACAGGTGGTGCTTCAGCAGGAGTCTGATGAAGTCAGGAAGATAACTCAGGGCATAAAAATGTTTTTATAAAAGAAAGTAGAGTCCTCTCCATGGGAGCATTGTGAGGCAGCTCCGTAGATGACCACAATTATAAAACTAAATAGAATTTCGGCACACTACGATGACAAGAACACGGGGTAATATCACATCAAGAACTTGCTCTTCACATCAGCAGATATTGTTGACAATGTTTATGGGCAACTTTTAAATATGGCAAAACCCTTTGAAAAAAGTATTCTGGTTATAGATTCAGAGTACATTGGAACACATATGCACATATAAATATGGCTTTCATTTACATGAAATCAATTGTTTGTCAGGGAAGATGGTTTTGTTCAACTTGCAATGTATGTTTTCTTTCTTCCTCATGGAAATATGAAAGCTAAATGCAGTTGTTTAGAATGAGAAAATGCACGTGGCACTCAAATACTGCCCTGCTCAATAAATGTAAGTTGAAAATATCAGATCATCCTACTTGGGGAAACTCTGTAGTAATAACCTCCAATAAAAATACTTTACACAAAGAGTCTAGGCATTTTTTTACAGCTGATTTTATTTAATGAATTGTAAGGCACCATAACTATTGTGATATCGCAAAGAATAAATAGGTATCAAGGTTCATATTTTAACAAAGTGACAGCTAGATGCTAACGTAGGCTTTACTATATTAAAAGTAGATAATGCATTCAACAGAATCCCTGAGAATATTTTACTTTTGCAAGAAATGACAGAAAGGAATCCTTTGTCAGCATTACAGTTTTTGACTGGTGATGGATACCAACATTCATGTCAACAGGGTGTGAGACATGTCATTAGGCATCCGCAGGTGTACAGGGTTCAGTAGGTGTATTAGCTCATTCTTACCTTGCTATAAATAACCACCTGAGACTGGGTAATTTTTGAAGAAGAGAGATTTAATTGGCTCAGGTTCGGTAGACTATCTATAGGAAGCACGGCTGTGGAGGCCTCAGTAAACTTACAGTCATGGTGGAAGGGAAAGGGAAAGTTGGCATGTCCTACTTGGCTGGAGCAGGAGGAAGACAGAGAGAAGTGGGAGGTGCTACACACTTTAAAATAAGCAGATCTCCTGTGAACTCTATCATGAGACAGCAGTAGGGGGATGGTTCTAAACCATTAAAAACCACCCCCACGATCCAATCACCTCCAATCAGGCCCCACCTTCAACACTGGGCATTACAATTCAACATGAGATTTGGGGCAGGGTGCGGCGGCTCACGCCTGTAACCCCAGCACTTTGGGAGGCCAAGGTGGGCAGACTACAAGGTCAGGAGATCGAGACCACCCTGGCTAACACGGTGAAACTCCATCTCTACTAAAAATACAAAAAATTAGCCGGGCATGGTGGCGGGTGCCTGTACTCCCAGCTACTCGGGAAGCTGAAGCAGGAGAATCGCTTGAACCCAGGAAGCGGAGGTTGCAGTGAGCCGAGATCATGCCACTGCACTCCAGCCTGGGCGACAGAGCGAGACTCCGTCTCAAAATAAATAAATAAATGAAATAAAATAAAAAATAAAATAAGAGATTTGGATGGGGGCATAGAGACAAACCGTATCAGTGGGAACCCTAGAATGTGACTATCCACAAAACAAGGATGCCAAGTTCACAATACCTAATAATAAAAGCCATAATGTGAAAAGTGTTGCAAGATAGGAACAGAGTGTGGCAGTGGTTCAGATGGAGGAGGAGATTTCCAAAGACTGTAACATTTGAGATGGGCCTGGAAGGCTAGGTACGATTCAAAACAGGTCACTGCTCTTAAGGCATTTACAATCAGAAGTTGATACAGAAAATATGCTAAGGTCTATTTAGTAGAGTGAGTATTGTTACTGTCTGTGATAACAAAGCTGAAATGACAGAAAAATCACTTGTAAAATAATACTAGACTTTGTGATGTTTAAAGTCTTATTTCTCTGATTATGAGTTAGCAATACTTTTAAAAAAAGAAAATATGTATTCTATTACAAAACTGCCCCCTGAAAAATTCTTCCTTTGAATGGAATCCCGTGTTGGTGTTGGTGACTCCTGAGTTGAAATCATTACGAAGGGGATGATGCTGATCGAGGGATCAAGGACATCACTCAAGGCCCCCTCCATGTGCGAAGCATGTGAGCTTTCTGGGACAGACTTATTTTTGTATTTATGAGCTTCGAAAATCACAAAGTGTATTGCCTTCTCTCTCTTTTCTTTTTGCTGGAAATCTCAGAGTGAAAGGTGGGTGTTCCTCCCAGATTCAGACCTTTCTGCCGATTCTTGCACAATATCCTCCTCTTGTCCTTCTGTATATCCACCTGGACTTCATTACCCATTTTCTAACTTTCTGCACAATGTGTATGTCTGCTCCAATATTTATTAGAAAAAGGACAGGGATATAAATGTGAAAAAAAAAGCCAATTTCCAATGTCTAGACAAGCACTGCGAGTTGTGCTTTAAAAAGACACAAAGCTGAAAAGTGATAGCTGAATCACGTTACTTCAGATTGATAAATCTTTTCTTTCTTGACCCAATCTCACTATTTCAGTGAAATAAACTTATTATTTGACTAATACATTTTTCGTAATTTCACCAAGAACTTTCCAGTAATTAATTTCCACACATATATGCAGGTATGTGCATATGGAATTTTAAATAATTTATATATAAACACACTTGTGAATATGTATGTTTGTACATATATGCAGATATATATTGTTCATATAATCACCACACACACACACCCCTACAACATGTAATTTTAAATAAGTGAGTTTTAAAAAAAGTAGTAAAATTCTGGGGGGTGTATGTATGTTTGGTTTATATTTTTTTCCTTTGCTATTACGATTGAGTTGTTTGGGCACCTAAAATACATGTACCAAAAGATAAGCCACTTAGGTGCAGGGACGAATGTAACAGAGCCATGGTTTTCAGTGAGGTAGTAGTTTGTTAAACAGAGAAAATAATGATTATGTAACATGTCATGCCTTACTTCTATAAAGTTAGAATGGAAACATACTCAGTTAAAATCACTAAAGTAAAATTAAAATCCTGTAAAACTGAAACGTACTTGAAATTAAAACACTTTGTAATTTAGTCATAGCTACAATTCAGAAATAATCTCTTGCCCAAAGGGAAAAAGAAGAGTTCTGTCAATTAGAGTATATTTAGAACCACGGGTTAGATGTAAATGTTAAATTCTTCCTTACTATGAAACTTTGCTGGTACTTAAAATTTAGCATAAACAAATAATCTAATAAATTTTATTCATTAGAAATATGACCAAAATTTCCAATATAATAACAAAAATTAAGGGGGATTTAATGTATATTTTCTATTAGCCATTCCCTGGCTATTTGAAGCATGTTATCGGTCATTTTGATAGAAGGCAGAAGTTTGCATTAGTTCCAGATCTTTCATAAAATGTTGACATAAAATAAAATGATTCAATACCCAGTACTCAGTACACTAAATGTAGTAACAATTTGTACCATAATATGAAAAGTTTTAATATCGATACTCCAGTACATTGTACTACTAATTAACATAGGAGGTGTGAATCTGTCCCCTCTAAAATCTGGGTGTTGCCAATGTGATAGTATTGGAAGCTGGGCCTAGAATAAGTGATTAGCCTGTGATGGCTGCTCTTTTGTGATTACAGTAGGTCCCCCCATTATAAAAGGGCATGACCCAGAGTTCATCCCCTTTTGCCCTTTCACCTTCTTTCATGTGAAGGGAGAGCATTCCTTCCCTCCAGAGGGTGCAGCAACAAGGTATTCTCTTGGAAGCAGAGAACAGCCCTCAACAGACACCAGACCTGCCAATGCCTTGATCTTGGACTTCCCAGCCTCCAGAACCATGAGAAATACATTTCTGTTCTCTATCAGTTAGTCCCAGGTATTTTGCTGCAGTAGCACAAAAGAGCTAAGACAGTAGAGGAAAATAAAATGAAAAGACAAATAGAAGACAATGTTGAGATCAATCAAGGTAGGTTATCATGAAAATTCCTACCTTGTATATATAATATTTGTAATGTTGAGTCAATGCCTTTTCTAAGAGTCTTATGCTAATGAACCAAACAGGACAGGATCTTCACCCCCAAATCTACTCAGACTTATTCTAGAAAGTATTATACTTATGACTGGCTGAAATGAGCGATCCAAGGCAGTTCAAGATAAGTCAATTTCTTGAGTCTACACATAGGAAAATTAGAATATTAATAACAAAGTATTTAGAGAGAAAATGCATATGGAAATGCTGGCAGTATAAATCTAGGGAATTCACTCATATCTTGAAAATCCGTTTAATGACATTAGTTTTGAAAACAAAAGTATATGTCTGCAGCAAGATCATTTTTCTCAGGAATCAAGGATTTAGTTACTGGGGACCTGTCCTCAGAAATTACAATGGTGAGGCCAGGCACAGTGGCTCATGCCTGTAATCCCAGCACTTTGGGAGGCTGAGGCAGGTGGATCACCTGAAGTCAGGAGTTTGAGACCAGCCTGACCTACATGGTGAAACCCTGTATTTAGTAAATACCAAAAAAATAGCCATGCGTGGGTGGTGCATGTCTGCAATCCCAGCTACTTAGAAGGCTAAGGCAGGAGAATCACTTGAACCCAGGAGGCAGAGGTTGCACCAAGCCAAGATTGTGCCATTGCGGTCCAGCCTGGGCAACAAGAGCAAAACTCTGTCAAAGAAAAGAAAAAGAGAACGAAAGAAAAGAAAAGAAAAGAAAAGAAAAGAAAAGAAAAGAAAAGAAAAGAAAAGAAAAGAAAAGAAAAGAAAAGAAAAGAAAAGAAAGAGAGAAAGAAAGAAAGAAAGAAAGAAAGAAAGAAAGAAAGAAAGAAAGAAACAAAGAAAGAAAGAAAAGAAAGAAAGAAAGAAAAGAAAGAAAGGAAGAAAGAAAGGAAGGAAGAAAGAAAAGAGAAAGAAAAGAAAGAGAAAGAAAAAGAAAGAAAGAAAAAGAAAAAAGAAGAAAGAAAGAAAGAAAAGAAAAGAAAGTAAAAGAAAGAAAGAAATTATGATGATTATGATGGTGATTTAGGGTCAGAAACAGGCAATTTCAAGTGACTTGTTAGCTCCCTCTCACGTTCCATTCAGAAACCTCTTCCACCAGCCAGAGGCAACATTTATTGTCAGCCAATCTGAGTGGGGGTGCTAAACACATTTCACATTTAGGATATACTCAGGAAAATTCAAATTCCATTATAAATTATGTTTTAATCTTCCTAAGCTATCTCAAAAATTATCATTATTTAATATGAAACATGTATAATGTGAATTAATGGGAGTTTATATTTTTAAGATCATGTTAAAGATAAGAATGTCTTTATACTGTCCCCTGAAAACACAGTATTCTCTGTATGTAAGTTTGTGATGTTGGAATCACTATATAGTTGGTAAAATGGCACTTTAAACTGTGAACATAGAAATTCAGATGCTTATTAACATACAATGCATATTTTCCAAAATACCTTTTATTTTACTCAGATAATGGAAGGATAACCAACAAGTGTGAATTACCCACAGAAGTGATGGGTGTGTGTGTGTCGGTCTCTGTGTACAGGAATGTGTATGCAATGTTTACTCACCCTAAGACAAAATGTGTTCCTTGTTGTTCTGAGTAATTATTCTTCTCCACCAGCCATTTTTTTCTTATATGTTGTTTTCACAGATCATGGCGAGAGGACTTTATAAAAGTTCAAGGGAACGTTACTCAATCTGAGAGAAAACCCAAGAGTGACTGTATTCACTCAGAATTGAACCTTCCATGCAAGAAGCCACCTCCAGCCTTCTGAACGTACCCTCACATCTGTTTGGAATACTTGCCCTCTTCACTCAGCCAAATTTGCTTCAGATCCAATCCTGCAATTTCCTTCCTATGAAAAGCCTTTCAAGAATCCCCCAGCATGGATAAACTGCCCTCTTCACTTGTACCCAGAGCACCTGAGCTTTTGTAATCATGATCCAGGAAGTCACTCTGGTGAGATTACCCATTGCCTTGCAGGTATCTCCCACCAGAGTAAATTCTAGAAGGGGTGAAGTACTGCCTGTGTGTGCGAGTGTGTGCGTGCATGTCTGTCTGTGTTTTTTTAATGTACCTTCAGTTCTAATGGCAGATGATACGTACACTGAATGTGTTGTTTAAAGGTATAAATAGGCATCATTGATTCTTGTTACATAACCTATCCCTGTCCCACCCCATCTCAAACTAGCACTTCTAATTATGTATGCTTATATATAGCACAATATTTTACAAAATCCTGTTTTACTTGAGAAAAATTAGAAATTAAAGGTCAAATGATATTTAGCAATAAGAACTTCTAATAACTTGATATTATCACTTTTATGTATTCTTCCTACCTTAAAATTTGACTCGTTTTACATTGCTGGGCAAACCATTCACACCCTTTCAGTTTTTAAGTGCACATATTACATTTGTTTTCTATAAAAGCTATTGATAGCGCTCATGAGAGAAGGTATGCAGATAACAAGAAACAACACATCTTGTCCACAGTTCACATGGTGCAGCCTGGGAAATTTCTGAGAGCCCCTGCAGACCTTCAGATGACAGACCAGCCCATTATATGCATTCTGTGTTCTCACGCCCCTAGATTGCCAGAGGTGTAAAGAAGGCTACTGAAGGACACCAAAGTCACCCCAAGAAGTGTTTCCTTCTACACAGGGAAATGACTTGAGGAATTCCTTTACCAAGTTTTTCCTAGTGCTAAAGTTTTAACTGGCATCTTCTCTAAGCCTCAAAAGAGTCTCTCACTCCCTTAAATCTTCTTATTCCTAGTCTTGGTGTATATGCATATTACACACTTTCCATCACAGAAATACTCACATTAATGTGAACAGTAACAGTCCCTAGCATCCACCTCAGCTAGATGGGGTGCTACTACTCAGGCATAACTCCAAGAATTTTCCAACTTAGGGGAACAATCTTAAAAAATGATTTGAAATAAAGGGATATCAATTATACTAGCATGGAATTAGGGGAAATATTTTTAAAATATATAATACCATCAATTTTTCAGTTTTAGATGACCACTGTCATTTTCTTTCAATAGTTACATAATAGTAGACACAAGTGTCCATTCATTAAACAGCTGTCCTTTCTTCTACCCTTCACACTTGACTCACTCATGCCTCATCCTCAAAGGCAATGTGAGTTGATGCTTTCGTATTGGTTAGGAGCATGAACAGTTAACTTCTTAAAGGGTTGGCATACATTTTAAAATAAAGAGTGTAACTGGATTGTTTGATACTCAAAGGATAAATGTTGGAGGGGATGGATATACATTCTCCATGGTGTGCTTATTTCATATTACATGCCTGTGTCAAAACATCTTATGTACTTTCTCTCTAAATATAAATAAACACACATATATATTCATATATATATATACTATGTGCCCACATAACTTAAAAATAAATATAAAATGAAGCCCTTGTGATAACCTCATTGAGTTTAAACATACACACTACACTTGTATTCTACATTGCTTCCTGCACTCACATGTTCTCTCCTGGTATACCTATCCACGGAGAGCACTCAGTGGGACTATCAGTGCTTGGGAGTTAGCATGATTACAGAAATTTACCAAGGAACCTTGGAAAGGTCATTCTATTATATATCTCCAAGATTCAGTGTCCCAATGGTAGAAATATAATAATTCCAATAATGAGTTTTCAATAATAAATGAGATAATGAAGAAGTAACTGGCCCACAAACTATAGGCAGTATCCAAACTTTATCTGTATAGGTTTCTTTGGTTTGGGTTCTATGGAGGAAAGAAAGTAGCTTAGCAAGCTATTCTCAACCTTGCATCTGAATCATCCTTTGATAGTTTAAGAAAGTTTTATAATAGAATTCATTTTTGTCCTCTGTCACATCTCAGCTTGCTTGAAGTCTCAATCACTGTAGGCAGAAAAGTGATGAACAAGACAAGTTTCTGCCGTCATGATTCTGACAATGTAAATCAAGCATCCAGGCTCACAAATAAACATCCAGACACTCGATGTTGAATACAGATTTGACAATCTCTGCTAGAAAAAAATGTAGGATCCACTTTGAGTTATGATCATGTAAGTTTTATTTTCATCTATGTGACCATGATAAAGTTGTAAACAGTTTTGTATCATTTTACTAAGATATTTTCATCCCAGTATCCTAATTATGTTCATGTAAAATGAATTTTCCTCTCAAGAATTTGAACGTTTTCTGTTCTATTTTTATTGAATTAAAAACCATCTATATGATATTTTCAATAAAAGATGTAATAGTAAACATAAGTATAAAACCTACAGCCAGGCACGGTGGCTCACGCCTGTAATCTCAGTACTTTGAGAGGCTGGGGCGGGTAGATCACCTGAGGTCAGGAGTTCGAGACCAGCCTGGCCAACATGGCAAAACCCGTCTCTACTAAAAATACAAAAATTAGCCTGGTGTGGTGGCCCGTGCCTGTAATCCCAGCTACTCAGGAGGCTGAGACAAGAGAATTACTTGAAACTGGGAGGTGGAGGTTGCAGTGAGCCGAGATCGCACCATTGCACTCTAGCCTGGGAGACAAGAATGAAACTCCATCTCAAAAAAAAAAAAAAAAAAAAAAACCTACAAAAAACTTTTATAAACATTTTAAAATCACTCAAACTTTTTGACATATGTATCATATTGTTTTCATTTGTCATATTAAGATTATTACAGTTCGGGAAGAAAATATGTTTCTCAAGTTTCCCCAACCAGCACAAGACAAAACTGGGATTTGAACCCAAATCTTGTCTCTTCAAATCCCGTCTCTTTTTCTGTATTATGCAACGGAAGAATCTTTGCATCCACCATGGTGTCTACATTGCATAAATACCTCCAATAAATATTTCTGGAATGAATGAGCAAGTGACTTGAATTACTACATACCTTAAATAGTTTGGGTTGTTATCAAGCATATTTGAATATATTATGACAGAATGAACTAGCATTATAAGTCTTTCTGAATGTTTAGTCCCTGAGCAGCAGACACAAGGAAGGACAACATCACTATGGTTAATCAGAGAATAAAACATGGTGAATACCAGTTTTATGGTTTTTTTTTTTTTTTTTTTTTTTTTGCAGTGTGGCCCACTTTTGGTTCTGGGAAGGGGCTCAAGAGTTCAACTTGAAGGTTAATTTCCAGACACAAGTAGGTGGTCTTTGACGGGGTCATGTGTTGTCACATGACTCCTGTTGAAACCTGACATTTCTTTAGCAGTTAAATACATGGCATTTTGTAAAACAATCTAAAATATACCTTTCCTACAGAACTTACTGTTAATCATTTCAAAATCAACCATAAAATATTTAAAACTCAGTAATTTCTAGTCTTGTGTTCCTTATTCTGAAACGTGGGTATTCTGTCTGGCATTTTCTTTTTTTTTTCTTTTTTCTTTTTTTTTGAGACGGAGTCTCGCTCTGTCTCCCAGGCTGGAGTGCAGTGGTGCAGTCTCGGCTCACTGCAAGCTCTGCCTCCCGGGTTCACGCCATTCTCCTGCCTCAGCCTCCCAAGTAGCTGGGACTACAGGCGCCCGCCACCACGCAGGGCTAATTTTTTTGTATTTTTAGTAGAGACGGGGTTTCACCGTGTTGGTCAGGATGGTCTCAAACTCCTGACCTCGTGATCCGCCCTCCTCGGCCTCCCAAAGTGTTGGGATTACAGGCGTGAGCCCTCGCGCCTGGCCTCTATCTGGCATTTTGTAATTGTGAAATGGCATTCTGTCATGCTCAGTATGCAAAACATATCTTTTATTTCCCTGGTCATTTGATGCATTTCCAGCCAGAGGTTTATATTTTTGTTTTCCTATTACAGTTTTAGCAATGCATTCTTTCCAGGTTATATTTAATGACTACAAAAGTGAGAGCTCATAAACCAACCTAAATAAACAAACAAATACACATTTTAAAAGTGGACTTATTCTTTTGAATTGTTTTTATTAAAAGAACATATTTTATCAATGCCGATATTCATGAGGCTGCCATATCATAAATTGAAAGGACAGCCAAGCCTATCAAGTCTGAAATATTCAAATTGCAGGGTAAAGAAAGAGGCTGCTATTACATTTATTTTTTCTTGTGGACACAATGAATAAATGGATGTATCACAGAGTTAAACATGAATTTTTTTTGGTTCTAACGAAAGGAAGAAATAAAACACCTATAATTTTGTGTAATAACCTTTGCTCTGACCCCACCATGAACTCTTTATCTTTACGATATTTTCTGTATTTGTGAGATCTACGCATGTGGCCGTGTAATTCTCTCACACTTAATACTGGCGCTTGCATCTACTAGAAGCTTTGGAATTTCAAAACGGTGTAATTTTTCTATGTAAATGTATAAATAGCAGTTATCTTATTTGTTTTTAATTAACCTCCTTATTTAGGTACAGATGTGATATAGCCTTGGGGAAAAACCAACTCAAATAATAAAGAAAATATGGAATAAAAAGCATGTATATAGTTCCTTAATTCTTGATTTCCTTGCAAAAAAATATGACCAGTATTCTTCTGGGCTTTTCTTTTTTTTCGGTCAGTTAATACAAACAAACTTTACAGGACTTTACAATCTATACTGTGACTTACATTTTAAATTCACCAATGCTTTCATGTCATCTCTCTGTATTGGGATGCCTACTGCTATTTTGTGTTTGAATATCTACCTAGAACTCCTCCCTAAATAGTTTGCTATCAATGAACTTTAAGCTCTTTCCAGATTTTTTATATAATGAGCAAAGGTAACTTTGTTTTAGTTAATTTTTAAACCATTTACTTGGACCCAAGTTTAAAACTAAAAAGCATTCAGCTAGAGCACATACTATTTTCATTTATAAAGATTCAAAGCAGTAGACATCCCGTATCTAAAAGACATGCTTCAGCATTCCTTTTAATGAAAAAAATAGGGCTGTGTTATTTGCTTTCAATGCATTATTATTATTATTATTATTATTATTATTATTATTAAGATAGACACTCACTCTGTTGCACCAGGCTGGAGTGCAATGGCACAATCTCAGCTCAGGGCAATCTCCACCTCCCACGTTCAAGTGCTTTTTGGCTAATTTTTTTTTATTTTTAGTAGAGACAGGGTTTCACCATCTTGGCTAGGCTGGTCTCGAACTCCCGTCCTCAAGCGATCTGCCAGCCTCAGCTTCCCAAAGTGGTAGGATTACAGGTATGAGCCACCACGCCCGGCCAAATGCATTATTTAATCTAATCTTAGTATAAATCCCTGCCAAACTGCCCCAGCAACTGTCAGTGAGGCACAGTGTGAAAGTTTAATGTAGGACTCAAGAACTGAGGCTTGGGGCTCAAGTCTTTGCTTTGTAGCTTAGCTCTGCGATGCCAGTCCTTTTTTTCCGAGAGCAAGTGAGTTGGAAAGGGGCAACAACTAGCATGTAAGAGTTATGCCTTACTAAATAGTTCTTAGAGGTTCTTCATGGCATCCTAAACTGACGAAAGACAACAGGCAGGGCATCTACATTGGTATAATTACTCAGGTAAGTGGTGATGACACTGTGAACTAGGGCTAAGGGAGTAGATATGTCAGATGATACTTATCTGCAAGTTAACATAAATAGGACTTGGCAAATGCATTTGTCCATTTGCTCAGACTGAAACCTTGGATTCCAACTTGGCTCCTCTCCTTCTCACACTCACCAGCAAATCCTCCAAACTCTGCCTTCAAGATATACCCAGAATTCTACCAAGATTCCCCAAAGATCCCACCTTGTCATGTCCAGCAGCTCTAACAGATGAAAATCATTTTCTAAGTGTTTTCCACACTACATCTCCAGTGATTCTTTCAGACCCAAGTCTGTGTAAAGCTCCCGAGTCACACCCCACATCCTCAGCGGCAAAAGTAGAAATCCTTCCCTGATACAGGATGCTCACCAGGCCTGGCTCCTGTGGCCTCTCTGAGCTCCATTCTTAGCCCTCATCCTCAGCCCACTTTGCTATTCCACCCCAGCCTCTGCCCACGTGGGACGCACACATAGACTTTCCCGTTGCCATTGGCACTGCCTGGAGTGCCCGTCACCAAGAAGCTGACCAGCATGTCTTGCTCTCTTGCTTCCACTGGATCTCAGCTCAAACCCCACTCATCAGAACAAACTGTCCTGACCTCCCATATGTGCACAATCCCCTTTATTTTTCTACGGAATTTTTGCCACCATCCGGTATCACTGTCTGTGGTTATTTAGTTATTTACTATCTTCTCTGACTATGCAAGAGCTGGGGCTTTCCCTGATTGTCTCTGATACATCGATAACTACTAACATTGTTCCAAGTGCACCATAGGGGCTCAGAGATATTTATGAAATAATTATGTGAGCCTGAGCAAGTTACTGGCCCTCCTGAACTTCAGCTTCTTCTCTCTGAAATAACAATTCTAATTCCAGTCTTGCAGATGTGCACGATCATTTACGAAAGAGGCTATCCACAAACGCGCTGAGAAGTAACTGGCTCATAGTAAGGGGCTGACAGGAATTCATTGTTACTCAGGGTTTTAATTCAGCTGAATTGTGCCACCCTAGAATTCATACACTGAAATAATAATCCCCAGTGCCTCAGAATAGGATTTTATTTGCACATAGGCCCATTAAAGAGGTAATTAAGTTAAAATGAGGCCCTTAGGTGCTGGCTCACTCCTGTAATCACAGGACTTTGGGAGGCTGAGGTGAGTGGATCACCTGAGGTTGGGAGTTCGAGACCAGCCTGCCAACATGGTGAAACCCCATCTCAACTAAAAATATAAAAAATTTAGCCAGGCAGGTTGGTACATGCCTGTAATCCCAGCTACTTGGAAGGCTGAAGCATAAGAGTCACTTGAACCCGGGCGGCAGAGGTTGCAGTGAGCCGAGATTGCACCACTGCATTCCAGCCTGGGGTGACAAAGTGACACTCTATCTAAACAACAACAAAAAAAGGCCTTTAGGATGGGCTTTAATTCAGTCCCACTGGTGTCTTTATAAAAGGAGAAGATGTGGACACACAGAGAAAGACATCAGAGAAGCTCCTGCAAAGGGAACAGAGCACGAGGGGACACAGTGAGAAGGCAGCTGTCTGAAAGCCAGCGAGAGAGGCTGCAGAGAAACCAAACCTGCAGACACCGTCGTTGTGGACTTCCAGCCTCCCGAACCATGGGCAACACATTTCTACTCTTTAAGCCACCTACCCTATCACAGTTTGTTATGGCAGCCCCAGCAAGGACTACAATTATTAAAGGACTCCTCCTAAATAACAGATATTCAAGAAATAGGCATTTCTATTAGAAGTTTAATTCACAAAGATATATCTAACTATGCATAGGGTCGTGAAAAATGAGATGCTGGATATTTCAGGGAACTCCTGTCTTGATATTTCAGAAGCACTAGGTAACACTCACCTCAGTGTAGAAAGGAAAAAAGCTAGTCTCAAGGTGTGTTCAGTCCATTTGTCTACAAATGATTTCATCATTTGTCACCATTTTCATCTGATTCAATTAACTGACACATCATTCTACACATCTCCCAGAAAACTTCAGCTTCTGTTTTATTTTTATTTTTTCTGGAGCCCGCACTTGACAAATGGGGTGACATTCACCCTAAGCCATGGTTATTATAAGCCACAGGAGATGATGGTGGGAGAGAGAATTCAGCCACCTCCACAACCACATTCCCTCACTGCCAAAAACATCCCCATTGGCAAATTTAAGTTTTTACAAAGGCACTTGGCACCACAGAATCAGTAGATTCTCCAGCTATTGTAGTAAAAGTATATTGCAAGAGCTAATTTAGTTCCTGAGTGAAGCTACAGTTTTCTGTTGTGAGATCAGGAATTTTAACATTTTATTCACGTTAAGCACTGATGAGGTGAATGAAGAAAGGAACAGGGGTGCACGGTGCAGAAGCAAACCCCACAGGGCCAAGGAAAAAGAGCTTGTTTCTCGCCCTAGCTCTGTCACTGTTTTTGTGTGACCTTACATCAATTGCGTTGATTGGTTTAGGTTCTAGATTCATATCACATAAAACGTAGGCATGGACAGACGTTCTCCAATTCCAATATGCAATCAATGTCCTTTCACATATTAGGCATCTCGTGCTAACTAATCACACAAATATTAAAACAAAATTTATTTCATGTAAAAGTGTCATATGCAATTGGTGTGATATTAACACCAATTCTGAACACTGTAATAATGTAATTCTGATTTCATTCATAGGTGCGCGCACACACACACACGCATATATATATACACATATACATGCACACATCATTTTGAGAAGTGGCGCTTAAAGAGAAATTTGACATACTGTTAGCTTATTAGTTTACTCAGCACAGCTGTGCTGAAAATTGTTCAAAACTACAGCCGAGCATACAGCTGAGTAAGCCAATTCCTTGCAGCAGCATATATTCTTTCTAGTTTAAGATCCCCTGCTAGGATTGGCAAGGATAGAACACAATTACATTTATCACCTGTCTCTCCAAAGACTGGTTCCTACCAAACCCAGAAACATTAATATTTCCTACCCCAGGTATCAATGTTTAGGTCGTTTATATTGTGGATAATACCATATAATTGTTACTTTTAGATACAAAAGGTTACCAGGTGCTAGAAAGTGTTAAAGTACATAAATTAAGGAAAGCAATTTCAGCTGTGAAATTTACATTTATTTGATGTGTGACCATTGTAAATACAGGATAGATCTTAATTTCTTAATAAAGGGTTCCCAGAATTACTGTATGTCTAGTTTTCTGTATCCCACCATCTAACACAGTGGTTGACATTGTACAGAACTGGAAATTTACAGAAGCTTATGGAACTTTGATTTAAAAATAAAAACAGTAAGACAATATATGTATTATCAATGGGAGACATGAGAAAAAGGAAATCTGCCCTTACAAATCCTTGACTTATCTGTAATAATTGGCTTGGAAATTCAGGCAATTATATAGATATCTTCATTTTCCATTAGCCTGATATGATTGGTTTTATTACGTTTTACCTTAATTTGTGTCTTATATGAAATAAAGTTATTTGGGGCAGTCCTAAAAGATTGAAATATAACTCACTCCCCTTTTTTTAGAATATTGTTTTCTCCTTCAATTTTAACATTTCTGTGTTTGACATTACTTTTGTTCTCTCCTTCTGATCAGGACATAGTTCTCCTTCTGGTCGCTACGAGGAGTAAACATCCCATCCCTTTGATATTAGGCATAATCATGTAACTCACTTTAGCTAATACTTCCTGAGTGACACTGACTCGGGTCTTTGCTGGCTGGTTACCTTTAGTTGCCAATTTCAAACGCCCAGCCTGCCCACCGTCTGTCCCAGCAATCATGGAAACACATGTTATTATGTTATGTATCCATGAACCATCCAACGCAAGGTGACTGCCTTGGAGGATCACCCAGACTATAGCTGATTTCAAGAAAAAAGTCTGGTTTATAGCTACGTTATAAACTAGCTGTGTCCTGCAACCATAAAACATCTACCTCCTTTGGAAAAAGGGATTAGATACCTATTTGTGTTTAAGATTATGTAAAGCAAAACTAACCAGGATTGAATTATTGAGCTGTTCCCAGTACCATCTCCTCACATAAGCAATTTGGAGAGAATGGCTACCACAGAAAGGGTGGTGAGGCTCAGAAAGACATTTGCAAACATTTTAGCTTGTTAAGAGTTTTAAAATGCAGTATATTTTTAGGGGATTTTCAAAACTTCAAAGTTTATTGATTGTTATATGGAGATATGTACTTTAGAAATGTCCCTTGGACATTAAGATGCTTATGTAAGAAATTCTTGTGTAACATGTATTAGTTATTAAAATTCAGGAAAAAATTTAAAACCACAATAATTTGAGAGATTCACATAGCTACTAATAAATAAAATGCATATTGCTAACATTTCTTTGGTATATATTAAACAATAGCATGAATGCATTTATTAAAGCAATTTTCATTTGGAATCTTTCAATGTTTAATCACATTTCTGTTGCTTCTAGATAAATTGATTACAGCAATAGAGATAGCTTTGCTATAATTAAAACTGTAAACTTTGAATTTGCTCCCTTCATTTTATTTTGGGAAGACTTTTAAATATAACTTCTCTGGTTTTAAAAAAAAGTGAATTTTACATAAAATTGTCTTAAAAAGTAACATTTGGTACCAAGTAACTACACACTTGACATATTTCTAGAAAAAAAAAAACACTCAAAGTCTGATTTCAGAAACTAGAATATCTACAGACAGAGTTTGTTCCTTCTGTGAGGTGAAGACACGAAGACTTCCAAAATCTTTCTGCCAGTTTGTCTTAAAGAGAAATAATATACTACCTCATTAAGGCCTATTTCAATTAAAATGAGATATAAATGAACGTATTCACCTAGAAGCTAATAGAAAATAAAGCTTGTGACGTGTGCTCTTGTCTTAGAAATATGATACTGCAGGATTTTGGCAAATAGACCCAACAGGGTAGCAAGTTGACGTGTTTCTATGCACTTTCAGGACAAATTGGTAAAGGCTGCAGGAATGAATGACACAGTAAATGCCAGCAACACACCATGTGCTGGCACAGAAGTGATCAGCCTTAAGTACGATCCTTAAAATAATCCAAGCTTACACTGACTTAAAGGTAAATTTTTAAATATTCAATAGAGTTTTACCCCTTCCCTGTGCTCCCTGGTTCAAATTTTCAACTACAGGTCCTGTCGACGCCTCAAACATAGGAAAATGCAATATTAATTTTTACTATGGCTTAAAATTGCTGCCTAATAGTGAATTAAATTATTATAGGTACATAACATGTATCTAGCCAAAATGCAGGAATTGAAGATGGGATTATAAAAGAAACTTACAATAAACATTTCTCTTTGCTGATGAGTTAAAAGATTTTCTTTTTAACTTCAAGGAATCAGGTAATCAATAGCACTTTCTTTTGCGGCTTGAAGTAATTAATCACCTTACATACTTGTATGGATATGTTCTCTATCTGGTATATGTTTTTCTTTTTTACTTTTTTTTCTTTCTTCCCCTTCCTTTCTTCCTTGCTCCCTCCCTCTCTTCTGTCTTCTGAATCATGTTTTCCCACTAAGTATGATATGACGGCACTAGTAAATTTTAGAAAAGCAACAGCAACATTCTCTCAGAGGAGCACAACCTGTCCAGCTGTATAATCATGCATTAATATGCCGTTTAAATATAGTATCCCCCATTTTGGTAAACTGTAAGTGCTGCTTCCTCCTCGCCATCTGACCTTATGGGGAAAAAAGTCATATTTTGGGTCTTTGTGTCAAGATAAAGAAAATTAATTTCAAAGCCAACAAGGAGAGAACTGTCAGTGCAGAAGGTAAGTAAATGCCAGCAGTTGCTCTGTGACTTCAAGACAGAGAGAAAAATACTTTCGAAAAGTAGCACTTTGATACATACAATACTGGAAGTTTTGCAACAAGCCTCTCCGGCACCAAGTGCAGACCCCACAACCACAATGTACTTTCCGAATGCCTGTCAAATAAATGGATAGATGAAAGGAAGGAAGGAAGGAAAGATAAATGGATGGATGGAAGAATGGATGAATGCACAGATGGTGGTGAAAAGATATACTAACTTATAACTACAACTATCCTTATTGCTTTCTTCCTCTCTTCCTTCTAAAGGGACCTAGATGTGAGCCCGATACATTTATTTTGATTAAAAATTTGTACTATAGATATTTACAAAGATACATTGAGGCAGAGAAGCATCATTTCAAGTAGGGTTTTCATTTGTTACATTTTTAAATTTCATAATAGGCAGAATCACAATGTATTCATCTTTGCCCACACAGTCACTCTCACTCAACAGTTACTTACGTTTATGCTTTTTTTTTAAAAAAAAATGAAGGTTTTGATGATGAGATAAATGTGTTCTAGCATGAATGCAAAGAAGGTCTCCATGAACTGAGAACTTTGAGGCGGCAGCCGTGAGCACCAGGGAGAGACCTTTGACAAGGAACTCCTGGCCCAGTGACTCTGAGAAGAGGCCAGGCTAACAAGAAACAGAAGAGGCTGCCTGAGCTCAGAAGCAAAGCTCCTCCAACATTTTTATCCAGACATCCCCCAAGGCAGAAAAAAATAAATATTTCCCCACAGAATGCTTTGGGACCATCCAACATACAGTTGTCCATATCAACATCAACCTTGTTTTGCAGCCCTATGTATTAAATTCAAAATTATTTGTATAGATATGAAAATATTGTTTTATGAAGCCATCAAGAATAATAATTCAGGAAGGCATTCTATCATTTCATGTAGTTTTGCAAACCTCTAGCTTGTATTCACATCAACACTCCACTGAGTTATAGAAAATACGAAGAGCTTATCAGAGAGAGCTTCCGGGGCTTTGAGCTGACTTAAGTTGCTACTAGGAACGAGATGGAGACTGCAACATGGACAAAGAAAGGACACAGGCCCAATATAATGTCTACCTTTTTATTTTTCACTTATCTACCTATCTATATATCATGTATTTATTGATCAATTATTGACCTATCATCTATGATCCATCTACTTATAATCTATAATCTATCAATCAGTTTTCATCCATCTATATATCTATAAACTATCTATATCTATCTACCTACCTATACTATAGGTATCATCTATCAATCATCTATTATCTATAAACCTACCTATCATGTATCAATCACCTATCATCCATCTATCAATCAATCAATCATCTAACTATACTACATCAATCATGTCTATCTGTATCTATCATCTACCTATAATGTATCAATCAGCAATCATCCATCAATCATCTATTTAAATCCATCTACCTGCCTATATCTATCATCTATCAATCATCTGTCTATATTCATCATCTATCTATACATATCTATCTAGAACTTAAGGATTTCTATATACACACTTATGCAGATAAACTTAAAATCCCATATCACAACAGGCCCCATGATCAGGATTCTGCCTTCATTCCTTATAGCTCACCACTTTCAATATGTGTATCAGTCACAGGTGAGGATTTTAAATTCCCCAGATGGGCCATGCTGTTTCACAGCTCTGCCTTCCCATATGTGGTCCCTGGATCCAGAGTTCTTCCTGCCCCACACCTTTCTTCTTCAGTTAGATATCCTCAACCTGAAATTGTTCCCCATGACTGAGCTCAGGCAGAGGTCTCATTAGGAAATGCCCCTGCGCCCTCTGGGTGGAGACATCGCCCTGTGTGTATCCTTACCTCCTGCACATGCACCTCAAAAGCCCTATTACTCTGTGTTGAAGTTACCGGTTCATTTCTAATGCTTGCAGAAGACTAACAGTTACCAGAAATCAGAAACTAAGTCTTTCAGTGTGAATCCATTAAGCCATGTGTTTCATGAATGAACGAATGAATGAATACAACTCTATAAGGTTATACACTTTTTTCTGAATTTCAATATTTTCAGCAAAAAGTCTATAAGCCTATTTTCATTTGCTCTCATTCTCCAAAATGTGGATTCACTCTCTCTCGATGATATCACCATTGTAACTAAAGAAACGAGTTTTACATATTTTTAGTTCTTGTTAGGATTGAGGAATGGCGTGCAGGCATTTTGATAGAAGAAAATAAAATCTGAGAAGTTCTTCTGTGATTAGAAAGAAAGACGAGGAATACAAGAATAGGAATTGCAACTTGAGAGAGTGCTCGGCCTGCTGTTTACCAAAAGCAGATTCAAACGTCTTCACATGAGAAGCAGAACTCATGCAATTTCTGGGCTGTCTTCCTCCCCAGCAGGATGCTCCTGGATGCCACGCTGCCGCTCAGAACAGTTAGTACTTACACTGCCTTTTCAGCAGCTTCATGGAAGAATCAGCAAAAACAGCCAGGAATAATAGGAACCCAAAGTGCAATGCATTAGGGAGTGAAGACTTAATCAAAGAAACAGCAAAGGGAAATTGAAATCATCATAGGCAAGGAGTGGAGGTAATTACAGTTATAAAAATGGTTTCTGTCCTGTTCCACATAATCTTTCTTGCTACATCTAGATCCTGAAAATCACATTAAGTTGAGAGGCAGAAATTATTATGCTTCCATATAATAAAGATTAGTTAAAATGTGCCCACAGATATTATATCATCAGATAACAGATGTTTTATCTTTGAAATTTCAATTTTAAAATGTGTGCATGGGATTGTGAATAAACAAACAGGGACAGGAAAAAACTGAAATAGTAAATCGGCCTGGTTAAGGTTTTTAGAGTGGGCAGCAGTATAATTTTTAAAATTGAAGATGTACTCAAATTGATATAAATAGAAAAAAATAGAAGGATTTTTGTCCAGAACATCTTATTATTTCAAGGCTTTAAAACTTTGCCCACCTTTTCCAATTACACTTCTATTGGATGGATTGTACCTTCGTGAATAAATGTTTGGAGGTAGAAATTCATAAGCATTTTAAGTAGACCTACCTGTGAAACACTTTATTTGATATATTTGTCAACACTAAATTACCTGGGGATGCATTTTAATTCAAGAGCTAGTTATGGACATTATTAACCATTGTCTATGACTAGTAAATATTTCACTGTAATTCATTAAACATCAATGTTAATAGGCAGGACCTGATAAAACCCATATTGGAATTGTCTATATGTGTTGTCCCTAAAACACACTCAAATAAAATATATTAAATGGATTTTATAACAGCTTTGCTGCTAAATAAAAATAATACATAAAACACTATTATTTTGACTAGGTTTTTTGTTCAAATTATTATTTTCTCTTGTGTTTTATTTTCTTTAAATGTTATTTTTGTTGTCGGCTCTGGTGGCTCATACCTATAACCCTAGCACCTTAGCAGGCCAAGGCTGGAGGATACCTTGAGGTCAGGAATTGGAGACCAGCCTGGCCAAAATAACAGGACTCTGTCTGTATGAACAATTAAAAATAATTAGCCAGGCATTGTGGCACACACCTGTAGTCCCAGCTATCCAGGAGGCTGAAGGTGGAGGACTGCTTGGGCCCAGGAGCTCAAGGCTGCAGTGAGCTCTGATCCTGAGACTGCATTACAGCCTGAGCAACAGAGCCAGGCCCTGTCTCAAAATAAATAAATAAATAAAATTATTTTTTATAAATATAAGGACAAATCTGGTGGTATAGTCCTATCTTCACTGGGGGATACCATATTCATGGACTCTACAAGTTACTTTCCACTGTTTGTTTTTGTAAAATAGTGAAAGCACACCTGCTGGGACTTGATGTAGTGTATTCTTTACTGGGAAATATGACAGGTTGAAGAATTCATATAAAAATAGTGTTTTTCTCTATGATGAGTAATACTAAGGCAAGGTATTTTCTTATGTGTTGGATGAAAAGAGATTTACAAAGCACAGAATGGTGACAAAAAAAACAATGGCTAGTAACTTACAGTACCAAATTCCTCTTTCTGTCAGCATGACAAAGAACAAAGATAGGAAAAGTCCCCTAAATACCTTGGCAGTGTCAGAGTATCTGACGGAGGCATCAAATAAAAGCACATGAATTATTTCACCTCATTTAAAATAGAGCAGTGGTTTCTTTAGGGGTATGAACGATTTCTTGACTTTACGCCTGAGCAGAGTAAGATAAGTGTGATCTGATCTAGAGAGAAGTTTCTCACACAGTGGCGCGTGCACACACACACACACACACACAACTACAAAGTGTCAGAATTTTAATCACACAGGAAATCTACATTCGAAGCTAAAAAATATATATTAACATTACAATTTTCACCTTGCTTGTTTTTCCTCTTTCCCAAATGTCAGCTACCTACTTATCTAAATTTTGTTTTTATTAATTTTAATCTGTTTTCAACAGTAGTTTTATTGGCCTTTGTGACTCATCCTCCCTCATGCAATCTTTGTACTCAAAAATAGTTAGAATAATATTACATCAAAAAGTATTAATTTCCAAATGATTAAAATTTTATCCCTTTTAGTAGCAACAAAGAATTTTAAGTTAATAATTAAAAATACCCATTGGTGCACTGATGTCAGAACATAATAGAGTTGGGGAAATATAGAAATAGTCAGAACTGTTGACTTTGAGCTACTAGTGAAGCTCTGGAGTGACTGGTACACTAGAAAATGGATTTCAATAATTTCCAAAACTCTATTTGTTGGACTTTGCAGAGTGGGAAATTTGACAGGAAAAGTTTAACTGCAATGAGTTCATAAATGCAACATTTCAAAGATTCCAAAATGCTTCCCAATACAGCTGTCCTATAGTTATTACAAATATGACTCCATGCCCACTTCTCATCAACAAGTGGCATATGCATACTCACTTGTTCTCTAGTAAAAAGACAAACATTTTCACAAATGGTTTGACAAAAAACTGATCGATGGTATAGACACCTGGTGACTACCCAGACACTGTGCTGAGTATGACAGGGATATTCCCTGCCCTCACACAGTTGTCAGTCTTATCGGGAAAACGCATACTTGCATAAACATTTATACAAGCACATTTACATAAACACGTAGCTGTAATCAGTGCTTGAACTCCAGGATCAAGCCTCATGATAATGGGGTGGAAAGAAACAGATAATCTTCTCATGATAAATTCGATCTGAAATCTGAGAATGGGAAGGTTAAAAAGTGTGTGGCCTGTGGGTCAAGAAGTGCAGGGGAATGCTTTTTTATATTTCATATTTTTGGCAAAAGGTGCCAAACATTATTGAAACAGGTGTAACGTGATGTTACTCAGTGGTTTTAATTTGCATTTTCCTGATGATTACTGACGTTGAACCTCTTTTCATATACTTGTTAAACTTTTGTGTGTCTTCTTTGGAGAAATGTTATTCTAGTCCTTTGTCCATGTTTAAATCAGGTTATTTGTTTTCTTTCTATTGAGTCATAGGAATGTTTTCTACGTGTTGTACATTAACCCTGCATCAGATGCACAGTTTGCAAATAATTCTCCCCCCTCTGCGGGTTGCCTCTTTATTTTATTATTTCTTTTGTTGTGCAGAAGCTTTTTAGTTTGATGCCATTCATTTGTCTATTTTTGCTTCTTGGGGAAAAGAAAATCCACGTACACTGTTGGTGGGAATGTAAATTAGTAAAGCAAATATGGAAAATTATATCGAGATTCCTCAAAAAACTAAAAATAGAACAACCATATGATGCAGCAATCCTACTGGGTATGCATCCAAAGGAGAAGTCCATATGTCGAGGCGGTATCTGCAAGCTCATGTCTCTAGCAGCACTATTCATTAATAGCCAAGCTATGGAAACAACCTCAGTGACCCTCAACAGGTGAATCGATAAAGAAACGTAATCTATATACCTAATGGAGTACTATTCAGCCTTTAAAAAGAAGACAGTCCTGTCATTTGTGACAATATGAATGAAACAGACATCACATTAAATGAAATGAGCCAGGCGCAGAAAGACAAATATCACATGATCTTGCTTACATGTAGAATCTAAAATAGTTGAACTCAATGAAGCCGAGAGTAGAACGGCCATTAACAAGGGCTGGGGGTGAGTGGGAAGGAATTGGGAGATACTGGCCAAATGTTACAGAATTAAAATCAGAGGACAAGGAATAATTTCAAGTGATCTATTGTACAGCACAGAGAGTACGTGTGGAGTATGCAGTGTACTGCCTACTTGAAAACTGTTAATAGAGTCGATTTTAAGTGTTCTCATCACAAAAAAGAATTCACATGTGATGTAGCATGGAAGTGAATAAGCTCCACTGAGCAATTCCACAATGTATACCTATTTCTATCAGGTTGTGTACCATAAATATATATACAATTTTGATTTGTCAATTAAAATATAAATTTAAAAAAAGATTGGGAAAACTTGAAAAATCTTCAGAGTAGGGTTATTGGGAAGATTGGGAAAACTGAAAGATCCATGTGCCTGCACTCCCGTCAGAGAAGACAAGAGCTGAGGTAGGAGAACCGGGCAGAAAAGTTGCATGTGAACTACCGGGGGCTGCTGAGGAGGTCTTGGCTCCCCCTGTGAGAGCAGGGAGGGGTCAGGGGAGTGTGGGAAGCAAGATATTGACTGACCTATTTCCTCTTTAAGAAGATCCTGGCCACCCTAGTCAAAGCGTATTTGAGAAGGACAAGAACAGAAATAGTGTGAGCAGTTAACAGTCCATTGAGTGGAAAATGCAGAGTAAAATGATATGGCTTCAATCTGAATTATTTTCTGACGTGCCCATGTAATTTCACATTTTTAAAATATGCAAATTGAGTGGAAATATACAGTTATATTACATGAGTTAAGAAATTCCAATTATGTGTAAAATATGTACTTTGATTCTCTTTAATTATAAATATACAAGAGTTGGGAAGGGCATGGTCTGTGTCCCCACTTTGTTTGCTAACCTAGGCACTTGAATTAGCTTTGCAGAAATCAAACTGAAAATTCATCCACACAGTATCAACTAGCCTCGTGAAGTTTAGAGAGGCAGGTCAGTGTTTTGATTCTGTTTATTTCTGGGACAAATTCTCACTTAGGCATTAGAGGTTCTTACGTTCTTTAACACATAAAACAAACCAATACCTTACAAGATCAAATCAACCAATTAAAATATGCATGTTTTGCTCACAAATCTCCAGGGTAGCAGCACAGGTGGTAATGCTTCAACATAGAAAATGAGGGGGCAAAAAAATTTTAAATCATAATCTCTGTACCATGTGTCAGCTTGTACCATGTGTCAGGTAAGGCTTAGAGGTCATGGTTAAAAATTGTTTTTTCTTCAGGTAATTTTATCACCATTTCTTTATTCTCCAAGAGGAGAAGTGTTTGGGCAATATTTCTTTAACAGTTCTTAGATCTAGATGGATTTTTCAAATGTATTTTTTCTTAAAGTTCAAGAAAGAGCGATTAATTTTGAGAGAGGAACAATCTACACTTTTCATTTCTGTTATTATTTTTGTAATCTGACAGATAAACCATCTCAAACATAATTATATTGAATTTTGGAGTTTGTCTTTCGCCTCTGATTTTGACTAATTGGTTTTACAATAAATTGGATCACTCAATAAATATTAAAATAAAAAACAAAAATATTGTAACATTCATTCTTGTTTCAAAACAACAAAACATTGTAACATTGTAACACTCTTTTGTTGTTTCAAACACAGTAACATTCTTTGATTCAAAAAGTTATTTTGATGTAATATACTTTGTTTTTGTAAAGCACACGCTTCATAATAAATGTTTTGAGTACTAAAATATGATATTCAAAATAAAAATATTATCTTTTGATGGTCTAAGATATTTGTGACATTCTGTACCAACAGTGTTTATATAGGAAGCCATGTTGTACAACAAGTGTGCCACAATTTCAAAAAAGCAAGAATTGATCTTCAGAATCAACAGTTATCTACACATGTAACTTGTTGTGTTTCTTCTGCAGTCTTTGTCAATTTTTTTCATTTTTATCCTGTTCATGGAAACAATCAGTTTTTTTTAATTTTTAATTTTTATTTTTTTTGAGACAGAGCCTTGCACTGTCACCCAGGCTGGGGTACAGTACCACAATCACAGCTCTCTGCAGCCTCGATCCCTCTAGCTCAAGCAATTCTCTCGCCTCAACCTCCTGAGTAGTTGGGACCACAGGCATGTGCCATTATGCCCGACTGATTTTCAATTCTTTTGTAGGGACAGGGTCTCCCCATGTTGCCCAGGATGGTCTTGAACTCCTGAGCTCAAAGCAATCCTCCCACCTCAGCCTACCAAAGTGCTAGGATTACAGGTGTGAGCCACCACATCTGGCCCCATCAGCAATTTGATGATGCTAAATTTGCAAACACAACAGTTTTTATCTGCTTCTTCCAGTGAGTATGTGTTGTTTTTAAAAGTCATTTAAAACCTGAATCAAATCATTACAGTCTTCAAAATTACCCTGGGTAAATGGGATTGTCTGGCTCTTCTACTTTAAGAATCTCTCTTCACTTCCTATTTTTACAGGTAACATTCCACAATTCCTAAATATTCTCTTCCAATCAAAGTATAATATACTCCCTATTTATTTTTCAAGTCACTTATTTTCATCCACTTTTGCTTCCTTCCCCCCAACACACAGACACATATAAACCAGGCTTCACTCTTATTTTTTCCCTGTTCTGAAATCACTTCCCTCTTCCATCTTGATAAAACTATGATTCAAAAGAATTCCTCTGTGAATTCTTGCCTAACTCTGACAGATAGAATAACCCATTGCTTTCTCGGTACCCTTGTAGTTTGATGTTTCTTTGCTGAGATTACTCTTATCATGTTGTACTGGAGGAATTCACAGTTATCTACATCATGCCCAACCAACCATCATGACAAAGACAGTTTTCACATTTTAAAAAATATTTTAACTTATATTTGTTAAATTCATTTTTTCAAAATATTTTCCTCTATTAAATAATGTACAGATTAGTAATTCTCACATATTTAAAAGTGTGACTTCACTCTAATGACTAAGTCATCAAGAACTAATGTTCCAATATGGATCTTGCCACTTTTCACCATCTATCCACTAAATATACACATGTGAGTCACCGCATATCACACTGTGATAGGCAGTTTGGCAGACACAGAATCAGTGGAGAATCCAATACCGACCTTCATCAACACAGACAGGGAGAAATGACATACACAGATGATGTAGCTAGGGAATTGGAAACTGCAACTTAAATGAAGCTGTGATAATAGGTGTTAACTAATTCACAGATAGTGGGACCTTTATTTGTATCCAAAACATTCTATGAAAGCTTTTTGGAAAGATATAAACATTGAAACAATGGTTTGGATTAGGTTATAGATGATGGGTGTGCATTCAGGATTGAGATAGCTTAAGGCAGCTTCCCAGAAAGTCAGGCGCTCTCAGGACTCTGTTGAGAGTATGGCTTTCTTTGAGGAAGACCAAATCAAGAAATAGTGAGACATGAAAGTAATTGTTCATAACAGATGAAGACAATGACTCCATAGATTTTACAATTTGAAGGAATTAGTGGAGGATTAATTTCACTTCTAATCAGTTAGTAAGGTCTTCATTATGTATACCGTTTTCAAAGCACATTTGCACTTTATTTGAAAATCATGGCCGGGTGCAGTGGCTCATGCTTGTAATCCCAGCACTTTGGGCGGCCCAGGCGGGCAGATCACGAGGTCAGGAGATCAAGATCGTCCTGGCTGACACTATGAAAACCCGTCTCTACTAAAATATACAAAAAATTAGCCGGGCGTGGTGGTGGACGCCTGTAGTCCCAGTTACTCGGGAGGCTGAGGCAGGAGAATGGCGTGAACCCGGGAGGCGGAGCTTGCAGTGAGCTGAGGTCGCACCACTGCACTCCAGCTTGGGGGACAGAGTGAGACACCGTCTCAAAAAAATAAAATGAAATAAAATAAAATAAAATAAAATAAAATAAAATCATCACCTCTCTGTAACCAATTACCTTTATAAATACCTTTAAACAATTAAAAAATATATCTCATATATCAAATGAAAAGGGTGTGATGATTTATACTATGTTGTCCAAGTTATCCTATCTAGAACTTTGCAGACTGAATCACATATCTGTTCCACATGTCATTCCTAAAAACATTTGAAGATATCCATCATGATGTGATAAGCAAAGGACTTTGGTAAGTTACTTTCCCTGAAAATTGCATGTTAGAAAAAATCCCTTATGAACGAAGATTTGACAGCATCATTATTCAGAACAAATCGAAGCCAAGATAGAGCCATAAATAAGTGTAAGAGCCCAAAACGCTTAAAGGTACGCAGAATTGCGGTGATGGAGGGCCGAGCTGGATATTGATTATGGAAAGACAGAAAATGTATTAAGGGAAAGAAACATGACAAGACATACTGGCGGTTGTATTTGAGTAGTAAAAAAGACTTGGGAATCAAAATAAGCTGGAAAGTCTGGGGAAAGAAGTGAGGAAGATGTTTGATAGACAGGAGGAAGTTTGGAGTAGAAGGAAAGGCAGATTCAAGTCTAAATTCTGCTGAGTTTTAGGCATCTGAATATCTTGGAAGTCTCATGAAAGAGAAAAAATCCACGAACTTAGATTTGGAAATTCCTAGTGTATGTAATAATTAAAGACCAAAAGATGATAGAAAGTAGAGCGACCTCAACAGAGCTCTGAGGATTCTATACTGTGAGTATTATGGAGATCAATGCAAAGTTTACAGAGCAGACCAAGAGAAGAAAGCTAGTTATCAGTGAGTTTGGGTTTAAATTATAAGGGCCAGCAAAAATGCTCAACACACTATTCAGATGGTTGTAGGAATTCTCTTGAAATACTTTTTGAGATATAATTTTCATTCTTTCTTGAAATCCTCATTTGACTAACCCAGACACCAAACAGATCTTGGGAAAGCTGAAAGAACACATCAGAGACTCAGACTCAGAGGCAGTTACTAAAAGGAGTCTACAGTCCACCTGAAGAGACAAAATAAATACACAAGAAATAAATTGAAACATTAATTCAAAAATGTATGCGGACTGGCCAACAAGCATATGAAGAGATGTTCGATATTATTGATCATTAGAGGAATGCAAATATCATCACCTCACACCCACGCAGATGACTACTGTCGAAAAGAAATAAATCAATAAAAACAAAATAGCAACTGTTGGCGAGGATGTAAAGGGATGGCAAACCCGCTGCACTCTTGGTGGGAATGCAAAATGGTGCGTGGTGGCTACTGTGAAAAACAGTATGGTGATTCTTCTGAAAATTAAAAATAAAACTGCCATATAATAGAGGAATCCACTTCTGAGGATATACTCAAAACAGTCGACATCAGGGTCTCACAGAGATATTTGCATGTCCACGTGTGTATCAGAGCTATTCAAAACAGACGAGAGGTGGAACCAACCCGTGTCCCTTGGCAGATGAATGGATAAGCAAAAGGTGGTCTCTTCACACGAAAATTATTTATCCTAAAAAGGAAGAAAATCCTGACATAGGCTACAACACAGATGGACCTCAAGCACAATATAATCAGCGTAATTAGCCACCCACAACAAGAGAAATACTGAATGATCCCAAATACATGAGGTTTGTAGAGCAGTGAAATCCTTAGAGATAGAAAGTAGAATGGTGATTGCCAGAGGCTGTGGAAGGGAACATGGGGAGTTACTGTTGAATGGGAACAGAGTTTTAGTTTTGCAAAATAAATAAGTCCTGGAGATGGATGATGTGGTTGATTGCACAGCCATGTGAAGATACATAACACTTCTGAACTGCCTGCCGAAAAATAGTTCAGATAGTAAATTTCATATTATGTATATTTTTACCGCAATTTAAAAAAATACATCCCAGCATTTTGGGAAGCTGAGGTGGGCGGATTACTTGAGCCCAAGAGTTTTAAAAAAACAAAATAAAAAGAGGAAGGACATGAAAAAAAAAAAAGTGGTACTCAGTAAAAATGCTTTAAAAAATAAAGACAAGAATAGCCTCAGTAAATCTCTGGATAAGAAATTCTAAGTGATGTATTCAAGGTGATAAAGTTTGAATATTTGAATTAGTTTTGGGAAAGGAGACTTTTTTCAAGAGAACTTGGCATTAACAAAGACAAAGAGAAAACTAATTACAGCTTTTGGAGGGTACAAGGAGGAGATGATGCCACCTGGAGAAGATGATGAATACTGGAGAATGGTGACGGATGAGGTTAAGTAGGCAGCAGAACCCAGTTTTGGAGAGTCCAAGGTCACGCCTTGCCACTGAAACTAGCAGGATTTGGCAGACAATCACAGAAACTCCTGAATAATAGCATTCACTCGAAGAAAACAGAATGTTATCAAACTCCGCTGGGAGCTATGTGCAAGAAAGTAGGACATATCAGAGGCTCCAGAAGACACGGTAGAGACCTGTAATAAGAACCAGTGGGCTCTTGTGAACATCAGACTTCTCCCGTCTGCTGTGGTCCTTCAGCATTGCCGCTGGCAACGAAAGTCCACTTGCACACCCAGCTGTCTCTACGTGGCTCTGAGTCCAATCGGGTTACAGGGATAACTTCAAAAGCAGTTTCAATTAAAAACTTTGATACTCCGTGTTGTTTTGGTCTGACTCAACATACTTAATTTATGGATCTAAATCCCTGTCTTGTTACGTTCTCAGAGACTGATGCTTTTGGTCTTGTGAGATGAAGAAAGCTTTTTCCCAAAACTAACCTCAATCAATTAATATGACTAACTGAAACCTTAAAACAATTTTTGAGGGTGCTTTAGTCACCATTGAGAAATGCCCCCACCTAGTGATGAAGGAACTAGGTCATCGGTCATTGTCCATGAAGATGGCTTTGGACCGTGTGTTGAGTGACAGGCTGGTCTGCCCAGTGACCCTCTATGGAGACTACCCTCCCCAGGTACAATATGACAGCCATCCCCCCAGCTGCCTCTAACCAGGCCTGAAGCATGTCCTTATGAAGGATTCTGACTCTGTATAAGTGAATAGAACACTAAATTCTAGGCTTATGTCTAAGGAAGGAGGTACTAAATTTATGCCATATTTAGAATCTGACTCCCGAATTAAAAATGAAGCAATGTGGTAACAATTGTATTATTCACTCACTCTCCCCAAAGGTTGAATATGTGTAGTTGGTGTACAGTTCAGCATCAGTAGGTTCAGTTATAACACCAATGTTACTGGCTTCACTACAGGGAAATAAATTAGACTGTGATTCTATTTAAATAAAACATGCCTCCAATTACACATTTATTTTGACATAAGATTTTAAATCATAGCCATGATTTAATAATCAGAAAATATATGTTTCTTTTAGAAAGACAGAGCATATGTACATACGTATTTTAATATTTCACTTTCTTCATATATATTATTTTGAGGAGTCAGTAATCAATGTCTGTAATCCAAATGCTAAACAATCAGCAAAATAAGAACTTTCTTTTACCAGTAGTATTGTTGCAAATGCTACAGAATTTGTAATAGGATAATCCATTTGTAGTTACATAGTCATCTATAACTACTTGTATCCATCTGTGCATAAATTTATATTTAACACAAATTCACAACAAAATAAAACAGAAAAATATGTTAACAGAATACATTCACTGCTGTTATCTACTTTTTAAATGTTGTCTGACTTCAAACAGTGAAATTTTTAAAATTACCTTGGCAATGATATAATAAACTCAGGAAACCTATAAGACCATTTGGTAGTTTGGAAAAAGGTCAGTTCTTCTCCCAGTTAAAATGCATAACTAACCAAATTCTCAGCACTAATTAATGGGAAATTCCCTAAAATAATTAATTATGTCTAAGAATTACCAGTTTTTTTCTCACATAGGTAAGAAATGTCAATATTTGACTTGTCATCTGTCCAGATCATCAACAATGAGAAAATGAGAACCATGTGGTAATAACATCAATCCCACATGTGGTCAGAAAGGTGGCATGATAATTCTCTGAATATAAATTAACTTGTATGAAAAATTTGAAGATTTTCTTCCCCTACATGTAAACTTACGGCATTCTTCTTCCTCCCCCCAGTGACAGATAACCACTTACATTTTGGGTTGATCATTCTTGGCATTGAAAAATAAATTCATCATAAATATATTTTGTCTAAAGTTTGTAGCTGAGTTTGCTTGCTTGATACATTATAAAACTAGTGTCCTACTTGAATTTGCATTTTTTCAAACAAAAATATGTTTCTAAAACTCATCAAGTTTTTGCATATAGCTGTGTTTTATTTATCCTCACTGCTATACAAAATATCATTTTGTGAACATATTGCAAGGTGTGCGTCCATTCTCCTGTAAGACATTCGGGTAATTCTTGGGTGCTTTGTGCGTTTATTCCTATTGTTTTCTTTTTTTAAGATATCCATAAAAAAATCTGCTGTATGAACTTTCTTCCACATGTCAGCTTGTGTTACACATTCACTTTTCTGTAGGAATGTAGATACCATAGTAGTAGAATTTCAAGAACATTAATTTTTTTTTAAGTGCCAATTATTTTCCAAATGGTCGTATCAATTTATACTACTATCATCATGGTACAAAGTTTCCTAATGATCAATTTATTTTTACCTCTCGCTATTGCTACAGGTCATAATATATACGAGTTTAGTAGGTATCAAATAGTATCAAGGTTTTAATTTTTTATCGTCTTTACCATTAATGGGGTTGAATATTTTTATAATGTTAGGTATAGTTGTTATTTTGTTTTCCTTTTTTGAAGTGTCAATTCAAAATATTTGCACATTTTTTTCTTAGAATAATTGTTTATATATTCTGTACTAGTTACTTGCCAGTCATTCATTGGGCATATCTATCTATTCCTGATTTGTTCTTTCTATTTCTTTCTTATCCAGTAATCTTGATGTCTGCATTTATTTAGATTGCATAATGACCTTCATTAAAGTTTCATAATCTTGTGAATACTGGTTTTGTAAATCTGCTAGAAAATTTATTCATAGTACCTTTATGTTTCATTCTTATTTTCAATGGTGTCCTTCTCAATTACATTATAAAATTATCACTGAAATATAGTATTATAAATATGTTGCTAGGTTGCTAAACTCATATTTTTAAATAATTTGTGTGTATAATCTTTTGAATTTTCTATGTAGGCATCTGTACCATTTAAGAAAAGTGATAGTTTAGTTTCTTTCTTTATAACCCTGAAAGTCTTAACGTGTTTTTATATTCCCTTATTCCCCTAGAATGGAGCTGCAGCATAAGGATTTTTAGAAAAGGTTATGGTGTGAATCTTTTCATTCCGATTTTAGATAAAAGACCATGTTTTTACATAAAAATAATGTTTCCTGTGGATTTTTGGTAGATATAATTTTAGATGTACTTTATATAGCAAGGCTGATATAATTTATCACTTTAAGGAAGCCTCCTTCTGTTCTTTGTTTGCTAAATGTCTTTATCCTAAATGAGTGTAACATTTTAACAAATGCCTTTTTGGCTTCTGTTGGGATAACTTTTTTTGTAACTTTAATCTGTAAATGTGGTAAATGGTAAAGGTTTTCTGATGTTAAACTGCCTTTGTATTCTTAGGATAAACTCAAGTTTATCATGTTATAATATTGTCTTAAATACCATTGCATTTGGTTTGTCTATAATTTTTTTAGAATTTTTGCACCTATCTTCATAAATGAGAGTGGCCTGGGATTGTCCTTTTCCTATGGTATGCGTAGCTGTTTTGTTAAAAAAAAGTTATTTTGGCCTCATTAACTGATATTTCACTTTATTATTTGTAAATGTTTGTGTAAAATTGCAGTCATCTATACCTTCAACATGTGGTGAAACTTTCCTGGAAAATTATTTGAGTATGCTGTATTATTTATAGAAAAATATTCAACCACTGCCTCATCTAATTTAGTAGTTCTCAACCAGGGGCAATTCTGCCTCCCAGGGGATATGCTGCAATGTCCAGACGTGCTTAGTTGTTGCATGTCACATCTGGTATCCAGTGATGCTGCCAAAGTTCCTGAAATGCCCAGTCAATTGCCCTTCCACATCCCCAACCAAGAAGCATCTGACCCCACATGGCAATAGTGCCAAGGCTGAGAAATACTGCATTAGTTATTATGAGAATTTTAATGGGATCATTTGGGTTACAGTTTTCTAAAAATGTATTAATTTTATCTTTTCAAAAAAATTGATATGAAGTTTCTGTGGCATTTCCTAAACATGTACTCGAAGCAATATTGAGCATATCTGAAGGACAGGATATATATATAGAGAGAATATATAAGGTTAGTTCAAAAGTAATTGCCTGGCAAAAACTCCAATTACTTTTGCACCAACTTGAGTGTGTGTGTGTGTGTGTATTCTATCTACATTGCAAGAATATTTTAAACAGTTAATGCAAATGTTTTTTATCTAATTGGTCACGACTATTGATTGAGATTAAAGCAAAACACCTTGATGAATAATGGCACAGGGAAGAACCTAGAAATAATACCTAGAAATATTTCTCTATAAATATTTATAAAACATAGAAATGTTTCATATGATAAGATTTTAATATATGTCTATGTTCCCATGTAGCACACTTTTGTATATGATTGTGCTATCATAATCTTTGTACCAATGTCTTCTGAAAAGTATTTGATGCTTATCTAATTAAAAATACAAAATTAGTCATTTATGCCACACACATATTTTCATTACTTTATGGTTAATTCTGATTAGTAAGTAAATGATTTTCTCAAGTGACATTTGCAGTTGTCTTTAAAAGACAGATTTTCAAAAGTTAAATAAGTAGAGGGTTAATTCATAGGACAATGTTACCCACAAACAAGCGTTTTTAGATTCTTTTATTTTAAATAAACGACTCAACTTGTGAAAAAGCAGAACACCTGCAAAATAGGATAAGAAATAAATCAGCCTACATCTATTAAACATACACTACTTTATTCATAAAAAAGTAAGTTGTTTTTAGTAAAGCAACTAACTTTTTATAAATTTAGTTTCTATGTAAAACACTACACATTTAAGGAAAAAGCAAAGTTACTTTTGTGGTAATATTTGTCATTGTTTTAAATGGCCAAGGATTTCCGGAAAAAGAATTCAGAGTTTACTTTGATTACATTGGCAATAAAAAGAGTTGGTCATTGAATACCACGCACTTTCAAACAATATAGCATTATTTATAAGTGGCAGCACGCTAAGTCAGACAATGACCGTAAGCATCACCACTCAACCACTCTTGGTGACCATTAGGAGCACCACTCAACCACTCTTGGTGTACCCTACCTTGGCTTAAGAAAAAGTACCAGGGTGGCAAACAAATGTACTTGTTTAAAGTACCATTCTTGACAAATAACTGACCAATTACAAAACTTGGAGACTTGTGGTAAAAAAAACAAAAACAAAAACAAAAACAAACAAACAAAAAAAATTAATAGAGAAGGGACCTATACATAATTTAACCCCCAAGAAGTAGCTTCAACAAATACAAATAATAAATGAAGAATGAGATTTAGACAATGTGAAAAAAATGTCCATCTTTCTGACACACACCCTCCTCTTGGACTGTCCCCTTGTTTCTGCATCACTCCTTGCCTTAAATCTTGGTTTCATGGTAGCCTGCAACATTCCATATGGTCCACATTAATCCACAAAGAAACTGTCTCTTTCCTGTGTCATTGCTGATAACGACTTTTAGTCTCTGCCTGAAATTGTTCACGCTCAGTCTTTGAACTGCGGACTTCACAAACCATATTTCTATTACTTGAGCTATCTCTGCTCTTAATTGCTAATTATTCTAGCCAGTCAGGATCAGAGGTGTGACTCCTTTACTACCTTCTATTAAAAAAAAAGAAAAAGAAAGAAAGAGGGAAGGAAGGAAGGAAAGAAGGAAGGAAGGAAGGAAAAGGAAACAGAACAGGGAAAGGGAAAGAGGAAGGATGGGAGGGGAGAAAGAGAAAAGAAAAGAAAAGAAAAAAGGAAAAGAGAAAATAAAAAAGAAAAGAAGCAAAAAAAAAAGAAAAACCTGCGGGGTTTTTTTAATGCCTGTGAATGACTTCTGGGACTGTGAAATGTTTTATCTGGATTTCCTACTTTTAGTAAAAAATGAGGAATCCTTGGCTGTGGTTCTACCAGAAGAATCTCCCTATATTAATAATGTTACTCACAATCTTTCTCCACCCACACCCCCTACCTTTCCTTAATATCTCTGGTGAAAGATATTTCTGAGCCTTCTCCTTTGCACAAGCTGCTTATAAAGATCAACAAAGTTAATACACTGAAGGACCACCCTGCATATACAATGAGCTATAAAATATTAATGACATTTTATTTATATATTTAGAAAAAAAAATTATTTTTTCCCCTAGGCCTGAAACTGGTGACTCCTTCAGAGCCAAGCTTCTAAACATAGTTTATCTTAAAAGGTTTTAATTATATATATAATATAGAAATACATATATATACACAAAATATATTTTACACGTAATTGTAAGCAAATATGCTGCTATATTAATGCATCCCAAATAGATCTGAATAGTCTTAATTTCACTAAATATCTTGCACAAAATAATGTCTTAAAATTATCACACACACCTCTCCTACACAGGAAAAGTAATGTAATCAAAACGTAAATAAAGCCATGTTTGCTCCGTGGAGTTAATTTGGATTTTTTTCTATAAGATAAACTATTATAGATAATAAAACGCAACAAATATTATAATCAAGTTAATTAGCCAACGCTTTTTGGGAATGAAAACAAACCCAATAAGTGAAACTGAATAATGTATGCGTTGATTCAAATGTCCACACAGTTTCACACTTAAAAATTGTAAAATGGAAGAGTCTATATTAGTGAGTCATACTTACTGGATTTCAATTACCTATGTCTAAAAGAAAAGGCAAAATATTTAAGGACATAAAAGTTTACCTTTTCATGAATTACTTAAATTCTATTTTTTCAATACTTTAATATGATTTTTAAATTTTCACTTTAAAATTATCCACACTATGATTTTGTATTTAATTCACAATTCACAATTAGAGCATAGTTGATATGGTGATTGTGGTAGAGGTTCAAATATGGATTTAAAAATCTATCAGAAGCAAAACATGGAATACATTAAAATGAGTATTAAAATGAGTATATCAAATATTGAGAGATTCCTTTATTTTTATTTGAAATTTCCTGTAATTTCAATTTATAGCTTACATCCTAATGAAACAATACTTCTACACAGTAATCAGCGTTTTTAATAACTCTGACTATATGCAGGTAAGCTTGTTGGATGTAGACTGTGATGTTGTTAACAAATGTTTTTGAATGAAATCTATACTGAACTGATTCACTGCTACATACTACAAGACATGGCAGTAATTGATACAAAAGTAGAAGGCTGTTTTTATTCCACATCCATGCATTCATACTTATACTAAAGGTTTTCCACATGTGAGATGAGAGTGACCATTAATACGTGAGCAGATGTTAAGACAAAAAAACATTATAGTCCTTAAAAGAAATATATATTCAAATGGAATTGTAACAGTTATTAACTCAAATTAACTGAATTTAATTCTCAAGGTAGAAGATACACTCAAAGTATAAGGTAGCACTCATTGTAGGAGGAAAATCTTTTATTTCCTAATGAGTTTTGCTGAAAATTTTCCAGCCTTATCTTTTGAACATATATTTCTAAATAGCCTAACTAAATCAGTCTTTTAGAAAGTACAATATCTATTCACAATTGAACTTGTTGTAACTTTTCATTAACAGATACTAAATCCTGAATCACCATTTATGGAAGGACTATGCGATCAACACATGTAATCAATATGAAGGACAAATAAAATCATTAAGATTAACACTATCACTTCAAATACTAAATAATTGCTTTATAAGGAGCATTTCTGGATGAACCCAACATCGTCCACGGTGGCAAGTTATGTAACTTGAACTGTGCCCTTATAAACCTTTATCTCAATTTGTTTCTCACTGTTGAGAAACGATTGTCAACTAGTCATAAAATTTAGTAAAGAAAAAAACTTGGCAATACTCATAGAAATACACAGAAGCAGTCAGAATTAAATGTTATTCACATTAAGAAAAGAATTATCAATATGCTATTTTTACATGTTGCTAAATTTGCCTGTTCCAAGATTTGGATGGAGATCAATACCTGTCTTTCTGCAAGGCTAATTCTCTCTGTCTTTGGTAATTTTCCCAAAATGTGGTTTGTGAACTATCTGCCACAGGAAGAATTATCTGGGATCCCTGTTCAAATGCAGGTTGCAGGACTCAACCCTGGGCTTAGAGATTGGACTACCCAGGAGTAGGGATCAAGGGTTTTGATGTTTAAAAAGCTCTCCTGGTGCACCTAATGCACAGTAAAGTTAAGAAATACTACCGAGATTACCAGAAACACAGCAGCAATGAAGACGTTACCCTTCCCACCCACCTGTTAAAAAGAATTGAGTGCTTTTCTTTCTCCAAATTCATAAACATTTCTTCCATGTATCCTACCTGTGCCAATTTAAACACATTATTTTATTTCTAAATGCCAAAGAGTAGGTTCAAATAAGAACCAACTATTTGCCATTTAGAAATAAACAAACAGAAAACACATTATGTGTTCCCTAACCTCAAGGAGCTCAGAGTTTAAGAAATTATTTTTAAACAATTACCAATTACGATATGGTGTGATAAGTGTTACAACAGAGGTGCAAATAACAGGTTTTAAATAAAGGAAGCTTGTTATTTAAAAAGGTGATATTTCCATTTGTAACTCTAAAGACACATTTTTTGTGTGTGATTGTTTTCTGATTGAAGCTGTTTCCAGGTTAGCACTCCCAATGCTGTGCACAATTGTATAGCTGACACCATTTATTGATTTGAATGATGACTGAAATTGATCACGTGGCACAACAGAATAGATGCATTCCACCTCAATTCATCTATAGATTTTATTTTTTTAAAAAATATGTTTAAATGATAAACACATTTTATCTACTTAGAACTTTTATACTTTCTAAAAGAAGGATATACTATAAAATAAAATCCTACCAAAAGCAAATACCCAATGTGTACTCATCTGAATTCATGTGTGTGAATGTTCCTTATAAGCTATCATAAACTACATAAGCACCATGGAAATATGCAGAGACTGGAGGATAAGAGCAATATTAATAATAACTGCTATTACACAGAATTACGGTTTTCCATACTTGACTTTAAGAAAAAAATTCTCATTTTCTCTTACTTTTGCTTTTGGTGTTGACAAGATTACACATACTAACTCATAACTTCAGGAATTCAGAGTACTTTGTTTCAAAATACCTGATTGAAATGATCAGTGAAAACATGTTTCTGTTTGTCTGTGACACTTTTATCTTTTAGAATGTTCCTGTCTAATTTTTCTGGGTTTTCAATGTTCTTTCTTAGACGAGAAAGCCAGCTGATTTTCTCGGGACATCCATTGCTGTATGTCAGTGGCTCTCAAAATAGGCTCTGGAACAATCGCTTCAGCATCACAGAAATGGCTTTAAATGGGACTCTTTGGCTGCACCTCCAGTTCCCTATATCAGAAACCCTCTGAGTGCAGACCTACGGGGCTGTTCCCGTTGGCTTCTACCCATTCGTGTGCACAGAAGTTTTCAGAAATGTTGCAATGCATCTTTGAAACACAGTCATCCTTAAAAACCAATAAAGTTGCATAAACTTGTAATTAATTTGTATTTTAAAAACTAAGGTTATAAATACAGAAAACAGTACTTCCCATGCATTTTATGACTTTTTATTATGATTGGTGTCTTTCATGTGTTGAGATTATTGATGCCTACTGTGTCTGTTTGGTGGATGCACTACTTCGACCGCAACTCTCACCTCTCTTTTTTTTTTTTATTGTGAGACAGAGTCTCACTCTGTCACCCAGGCTGGAGTGCAGTGGCATGATCTCGGCACACTGCAACCTCCGCCTCCTGGGTTCAAGAGACTCTCCTGCCTCAGCCTCCCGAGTAGCTGAGATTACAAGCATGTACCACTACACCCGGCTAATTTTTGTATTTTTAATAGAGACGGGCTTTCCCCATATTGGCCAGGCTGGTCTCGAACTCCTGACCTCAGGTGATCCACCCACCTCGGCCTCCTAAAGTGCTGGGATTACAGGCGTGAGCCACCACGCCCGGGCCCTCTCTTCCAAACTGCATGTTAGGTGGTGGCGTAACAGTACCTTCAAATTGGCCAACATGGGAATATTTAGGTCGTAGAAATTGGCAAACACTGCCAATCAGTATCTTTCCCCTCTAGAAAGTAGTTGTTAAACTTCAGAGGCAAAAAATTATATTTAAAAAGCCATCCAGGCGATTCAGATGAATGGCTGAGTTTGAGAAACGCTGTGCTGCGTTCTGTGATTTTCAGTATCTGAAGGATTCTAGACAACTACTCTCAGACTGCTCCAGTCACGTGCTCAAAGACCACTTGCTCCTATCCTGGGGTGACGTAAAACCACTTAGGGGAGAGTTATTTGGTTATCACCCTAAGAACTGCTAATTACTTTCTCGCTCATAATGGATGACAGAGTTATCATTTTTCTAGAGTTGTTTCTTTTCTACTTGGGGCCACTGGAGATTTGTTTTCTTTTTAAGTTGTTCAACACCTTTACAGCCCTCCTTACTCGCTATTTTTTTTTAATTTAAAGTGACAGACCTTGCATAGTCTCATAATTTTAAAACATTTAATAGCATATGAATAATAAAAATAATTAACATCCACTATAAATGTATACTTGTTTACCGTAAGATAGGATGATATAAGATGTATATATACACATACATTTTCAAGATATTATAAAATTCATATGTGCATATATTTAATATACATATTAAAATATATTTTAAATATATTATAAAATGCATATGTGTATAAAAATATATGTTATCATATACACACGTATTTTAAATATATTATAAAATATATGTGTATATCATAACATATAATATATTTAAAATACATGTGTATATCATCATAACAGATATTTTTATTTTATAAATATATGTAAATGCAGAAAATTACTGGAGAAAATATGAAACTTTCAGAAAACAAACAAGTTGATATTCACTCACTTACAGTATGATGAACTTAATGTTCCAACAAAGACTATGTCAACACAAGAGGAAAATATTCCAGGGAATGGAGACTTCACAAACAGGACAAGTTCACCTTCCACTTAGATTTTCTCCTCCCACCTGTTGCATTGCTTCCACGCACCTCCTGCAGAAGTCAGTGTGAACTCATGGTGTTCCCTCCACACCAAGCGGCAATCCCCAACCAGGCGCTCTCATTTTTGTCCACATTCAATTGCACTGGACACAAGGGAGGAAAGCAGCTATTTGGGAAGCCTAACCATGCTCCTGATTCTTGTGTCTGCTGAAGCAGAATCCTAAGTCTAGCTAGAAATGTGAGAAGAAATTCAGGAAGAGGAAACACATTAATTTGAGACTGTTGCCAGATATGCTAGAAGTATGAATTTTAAAATATAATAAATCATGAAGAGTAATAAAAGCAAATGAAATCTGGCAATTAGGTAAAAACAGTTTGTGACAACTGAAAAACACTGACCTGTAGACCTAAAGCTATAGCAAACTGTTCTGCCTGGGAGCCTAATATTACTGAGTTGCCTTCAGGAATCCTGGAGTCAGGCTTGAAATTCTCACCCCACACAAAGGGCAAAGCCCCTAATATTTTTTTAAACAAGGAAAGATGCGTTGGCAGAGAAGAGCACATTTGGCAGTTTGTGAAAAATTATGTTCAAAAAGCAATGAAACACAAATCTACGGGCACTATGGTCGGAAACCCTATGTAACAGGCGCTTTCTTCTTTTTGCCTAAGTTCTCTTGATCATTTCAGGGAAGACACACATATCAGAGTAGAAATAACTACTTCTTATCAACTTTTCTGAAGTGCTTATATGAGAAATTCATTGTGATATCAGTGTCTTTGTAGACAATTAAAAATAATCTTGTGAAAGATCCTCATATGAAAGAAAAAAATGCACTGAAGAAATAAATGATGTTTACCATTCTAGAGTTAAAATTAACAAAAGGATATAAAAACTCATTGCTATAGTAAGATTTTTTGTTTGTTTCTTACCATGTCTCTTTTCCCATTCCCCTTCTCTATAAGGACTCACCATGCTTAATTTAAAACGTGTACACAAACTGACTAGGACAGGGGTGTACTAGCTAAGTAGGTGGATAGTACAATTGGACAATACTCAGCTCCTGCAGTCACTCTGCCAGCCCCTGCAATATGGAAGTGTGGATTGATAAAGCTGGTGTCTGTAAGGAGAAGTATTTTAGTCATTTACTTGAAGTACTCCTTCTGCTTTTCTCTCCTTAGTAAGATGTTATTTTTTCCATAATTGTGTGATGTCAACAGATGGTTCAAGTCACGACGTTGAGGAGAAAGCATCTTTAGCATTCATTTGATAAGAGGGAGCTTCATGTATTTGAGTGTTCATAATCCATAAAGTGATGTCTCAAATTCTATGAGGTCTTTCCTGTCCTTAGAACATATGTTTCCCTCAAACAAAATGTTGTTTCGATCAATTTGTGTTTAACATACTCTGTTTCCACATTATATTTTTATAGTTTTCATGAAGAGTCAATATATTCAATATGAGATTAGAAAAACAGGTTCAATGAAAGTGCACATATTTGACACATCAATTTTTTTTTAACTTTTACAAATATTTCCAATTGTCAAAATCAAGTTAAAGGTGAACATGGTTGATCTTTACCCACCTATTTTAAAACAATTTTTAAGCAATTGACATTTCTTCAAAATGTAAGTCTATAATAAAGGTAGATGAAGGTTAAAAGTATTAACAGAAAACTGCAATATATATTGAAGATATTGAGGCTTACAGAATCAAGCACTCCATAGTTCAGCCAGAAATATTCCCACAGTTAATTTATAAGCTCTTGAAATGAATAGAAATTCTGACAGCTTCTTAAGCAAGGCAGTGTTCTGAGTTCTGCTACAATAATAAGCTATTCAAGTATGGGATCTATGTGAACCAGTCTTTCTGGTTTTGTGAGTTACCATGGAGTTTTTAAGAATAATAGACATAATTAGATTTAGTGACTCAATAAATAAATGAAGCTTTTATATAAGTCATCAGTAATTTCCCCCTGTTTCAAACTAGAAGTGAAAAAAGCGGGGCTTTCATGAAGAAAATATATCCCATGCTTCTGACAAGTGTCTAAAAAATGCATGTCCTTTAGTCAAAGAAAGCAGGTAATTTATTGACTTCTCATTCCTTCAACAAAGAGGAAAGAATATTTTTAGAAAAAAATATAAGCAGCTGCCTTTGCTTCCTTAGGTCTTGTGAGAATTACAAAATTAAAAACAAGAAACGTGAAAACTTAAATCTTAATTGTATGCTTTAACTGAGATTATCAAGCCATGCTATATAGTATATGTCATCAAATGGAAGATGATTTCATCTAGAGGGAAATAGTTTAGTCTATGCTTAGTTTTAATATAGATTTTTAAAGGTTATATGAGAATTTGGAAAGAAATTGCACATATCACTGGTTTCTATGACACAGCTTCCAAGTACGTTCTGTTCAACGTTACTGCCATGAAGCGGTGCTTGTTATGTATTTTTAAAATGGATTCTGGGGTCATATGTTTTGGAAAAGCTAAGTAGATATGTAACAGGTATGTTTATTGTAGGAATTTCTGGGACCTTCTTATTCAACATGTACCTGGTGTTCCCCGCATGTCAGGTGGCAATCCCCAACCAGGCGCTCTCATTTTTGTCCACACTCAGTTGCACTGGACACAAGTGAGGAAAGCAACTAGTTGGGTAGCCTAACCATGCACAGAGAGGCAACGCCCTCAGGATATCCTGTTTGTTCTATCTTCAAACGTATCCAGAATCCAACAACTTCCAGCTGCTCCATGGTGACCACTCTGGTCACGGCACTATAATTATCACCCGATACCTATCTAACTGCTGTAGGCATTGAGCAGGCTTCCTGGCTTCCAGCCTTGTTCCTTTCTATTCTAATCTCTTCTCAGCGTATTATCTAGCTTGTCTAACTTTGATCAAAACCCTCCAATAGTTCTCTCAGTTCACGGAATGTCAAAATCCTAATGACCAACTTACACCAGAAGTCTTCCTGTACGTGACCTTTGTTCTGACTGTTGCTTATTTCTAGAATGATTTTCCCAGATATCCACATAGCTAACTACCTAACCATTTAACAGTCTCTGTGAAAACATCAGTGTCTCAATGAGGTGAACTCCCTCATTAGAATTGCAACAACAATCTTCCCTATTTTCTGCTCTACACTTTTAAAATAACACTTACTCTCCTTAAAAATAGGAAAATGTATTTTGTTACTGACTTATGGTTTCTCTTTGCTCACTAGGATGCAATTTCAACAAGGCATATGTAGCCTTCACAGTTACTCAGAACAGTGCCTTACCACCATTGGGACTCTAAAAAAATTGCCAAATAATGAATACATTTTTAGGAGGGATATAATGTGCTCATTACTTCTGAAATGTACTAGACCCACAAAACTCTTTTTCAATATTTCTAAAGATCACTGTCTCAGGAAATCTTGATCTAGGACACTCAGAAGATGAAATACAAATAATATCTTGAAGGAAATGGAAAAGATAAACTATACATAACATTTGTTTAATTTTGCAACGCCCCTGATATATAGACAAGTGTGTTTAATGTTCTGACATCTTACTTAGAAGAGAATAAGAAATATCACTATGATGATGTAAATTTGAGAGAGCTGGCAAGCTACCGATCTCACTCTTCTTTCCCACTGTTGAAAACTACTTTCACCTGGCATGTGCTGGGGATAAACAAAGTACCAAACTAAGCTGAATTCCTTGTTTATGATTCTTCAAGGAACAAGATAGATGTAAAGTTAAGCGCTTGTACATCTTATGTTAAAAAGTATCCTGCAATCTTCATACACAATAGATAGAATAATGCCAGTGCATACATACAGTCATGGGTGCATGCATCCATACATCCATATATCCATACATATGTACATCCATTCATACGTACATACATACATGCATAAATTATTTCTTGCTAGTTTTAGTCCGGTAGTTTCCTAAAAATAAAATTGCAAATTCCTTTATAAGGGTACACAAGTTTCTTACATCTAAGCAAGAACAGATGATCATCTGTTATAAAATGGTAAAACTATTTTATCAAATGAATTCATTTACATCATAAGTTATATAATAATAAAATGTTTATTTTTAAAAGATTCCTCAACTCCTGAAATACAACTATTTACAATGCATGTGGCTGTTACTTCTGATTTCACTGCACATTTTTAAACAATGCACTTAGCCCATCTTATCTATTGACATCCTAACATCATAGATGAGCATTTTACTCTCTTACAGAAAGATTCTTCCTCTTCTCACCCTACGAAATAGTCACTACACTTTGGAGTAAAATTAACAACGGGTGTTTACCTCATTAGGACTATAAAATCCAAGTCATTTACTATGATTAACTTCTTACCTTGAACAACTTTTTGTTTTCCTGTAATTGATACATCTTACTTTTAGAATGCATAGTATTCTGTGTAACTAGTGATATTTTCCCTAACACTTCTGCAGTTATATAAAATCCTCAAAATATTTTATCCCATCAAACGCATCCAAAAATGGATCCATCCCATTATTCCACCGAAGACCTCACTCTTAGAGCCTTTTCAAACATTCTTTCAACCTGACCTGATTGCCCCTGAGGCATTCAGTAGAATGTTTGTCTCAACTTCACTTTTCTCACAGGCTCTTTACTCCTTGAAATGTCCTCTTCTAGTTGATTTCCTCAATACAGTGAAACATATTCTCCAATGACATTTTATTCAGCACCAATAAGTATCCATTAGTTTGGCTAGTTTGAAAATTAGTTCCTCTTAGAATTTTGAAGACGTTAACCATTGTTATCTAGTGCTCATGGTTACTGTGAAATTCTGTGCCGTTTTGTCGCTCAAACTTTTGTATGAGCTCTATTTTCATCCAGAAAAACCCTACAAGTTGTATAGAGTAATTTTTATTGTTTTTTTTCTGAAATGATAACGTAATTTTATTTGGCTGATATTTTTCTGAGTTTCACAACATTTTCAATCTAGCAATTTCTGTCCATTTCTGAGACTCTTTTTGTATTGTTTGACAAATACTGCTAATCTACTTTCTTGTTATTTCCTGTTGTCCACGTCTTGATTTCACTTTAAATTTTCATCATTTTCTAACACGTGCAAAAATTCCTTCCTTTTTTTTCCAATCTATTATTTTATTCAGTTATAACATTTGTTATTGTCTGCAGATATTTCTTGTCTTTGAATGTCAAAATCCTGTACATGGATACAAAATTTCTGTTATCTCTCTGAGATTAGTAATAACTTTGGGAAGGTTTTTTTGATTTACTCCATTATATCTATTTTCTTTAAGTTTTTGTCATGCATGTAAGTATGTATTTTTTTGTTGTTTTTTTTTTGTATTGGAGGCTTTTACAACTATCCAGTGAAACACAAAACAATAATATAAATGTAAATTTCTGCTTTTTTTTTAAAAAAAAAAGAAAAAAACAAATATTTGTTGGAGACAGAGACTCACTCTGTCACCCAAACTGGAGTACAGTGTCACAGTCATAGCTTATGGCAGCTTGGAACTCCTGGTCTCAAAAGAGCTTCCCATCTTTGCCTCCCAATTAGCTAGGACTACAGGTGCAAGCCATCTTGACTGCTTAATTTTATAATTTTGTGTAGAGACAGGGTCTTTCTATGTCGCCAAAGCTGGCCTTGAACTACTGCCCTCAAAGGATCTTCCCACCTAGGCCATCTAAAGCTCTGAGATTCCAGGCATGTCCCATCGTGCCCAGCCTAAATTCTGTTTTTATCTTATGAAGCATGGAGGACATTTTCTGATTAGTTTACTATAGGATTTTGGCATAATCAGATGGGTATTTGATAAAGCACCCCAGATGCCAGTATTTCTAATTTCTCTGCCATCACTTCAATTTATTCAGTGAAGAATACTGCAGTCTCTTGCTCCATGTGGGTGGAAGGGATGTGCAAGATTGATGGATGGGCAAGAACGGCAGGAGAAGCCAGTCTAGCTGCCAATGTTCTTGGGATATGGCAGAGAGAGGGGACAAAAAATTACACTCCTTAGTAAAAATAATTTCACTTAATCTCCATTTTTAGACCTCTTTTGTGCTTGGTGTCCTAAATGCAGAGGCACTGCCACTTAATTCCTGTAAAAAATAAATCTATCTCCACTTTTCTGGTAGTAAAGCAGGATGAGAGATGGGAGGAGAACATGGGTTGGCGCTGGGAAAAGGATCGAAGAATCTAGTGACGCTATATACGTATTTTTCAACCAGGTGCCCTGTTTATAGCCTCCCACCTTACTCCTGCATGGAACTGCACCCAGGAGCTCAGGTGTTATGCCTCTCCAGGCCTCCGCAAGAATATAGGCTTATTTCCCATGGGTGGCCCTCCTACAGGCAGTCAATTGCCCTCTGTAAGCTTTGGTAAATCAGCTGTAATCCCTTCATTCACTTTATTTATTTACTTATTTATTTTATTTGAGATGGAGTCTTGCTCTGTCACGCAGGCTGGAGTGCAGTGGTGCAATCTTGACTCACTGTAACCTCCACCTCCGGGGTTCAAGCAATCATGTGCCTCAGCCTTCTGAGTAGCTGGGATTACAGTCACACACCACCCTGCCCAGCTAATTTTTGTATTTTTAGTAGAGACGAGGTTTCACCATGTTGACCAGCTTGGTCTCGAACTCCTGACCTCAAGCAATCCACCCACCTCGACCTCCCAAAGTGCTGGGATTACAGGGGTGAGACACCATGCCTGGCCCCTCATTCACTTTCTACCTCCTAGAAATAGATTTACCTCCCTTACCTGCTTTTGTGTCTTTCCTATTGGTCTTTGTGTGTTTATACATTTATTTTTATTGCTATCATTTATTTCCTGTAACTTAGATGATCTCAGGTGGAAGATAATACGTGTAGTATGAATTTGCGTTGAAATTCCTCTGTGTAGACACAGGTGTCTAAAAGCTCTTCTTTGACCATACAATTTTAACACTCAACTCAAGTTTTCTTGGTCACTTAACAAAATAACATGACTTTCATGGCAACGTCAAAATGGTAAGCAATAGAATTATTGAAATTTTCACTAACCATGGGAGTAGTCACCCAATCATACTAGCCTAACCTAAGCTCATAGAAATACCTCCACTTTCCAATTCCTATCAAATATTTTATACACCTCACTTACTAGTATTAAAAAAACAAGCTGATTTCATACCAAATACTCTATAACATATAGATTGTCAAATCCTAAAAGTTAAGCATATGGCACATGTGAAGAACATATAAAATTTCTTATTATCTTGATAGCTGGGTGAATCTGGCAAGACATATCTGGCTTTCTGGGTTTATTTTATTTTTTTTACTTTCTCAAGTGGCACTATCTTCATTTTTATCTTCACATTCTTTCCAAAGACTTCAGGACCAAGGAGGAGATAAGAGAAAAGGGAAATACATTAATACATTTTAGAGCAAAATGAATGAATGAGTAGCAGGCAGCCAGGTATGGTGGCTAACACCTGTAATCCCAGCAGTTTGGGAGGCAAAGGGGGGCAAATTGCTTAAGTCCCAAAGTTCAACACCAGCAGGGCAGCATGGCAAAATCCCATTTCTACAAAAAGTACAAGAAAAAAAATAAGCCGGGTCTAGTGGCATGCACCTGTAGTCCCAGCTACCTGGGAAGCTGAGGTGGGAGAATCACCTGATCCCAGGAGGTCGAGGCTGCAGTGAAACGTGATCCCATCACAACACAGCAAGACCCTGTCTCCAAAAAAAAAAAAAAAAAAAAAAAGGAAGGAAGGAAGGAAAAAAAAAAAGGATGACTAGCAGGAGCACAGAACCAAGAAGGACAAGAAGGACTGGAGTTAATCAATGACCCTGAAGCAGGTGGATCTTCCAAAAATACATTTTTCTAACACTCTTTAAAATCTTCTCAGAGATTCTCCATTCTCCAGGTTCCAGAAACTCAGTTATGGTCACTAAGCCAAACTGAAAAAAAATGAAAACTTCTTTGTCATTGAACCTGACAAAAACTCATTTTGTGAATGAAATTGTTCTTTTTATCGTCGTTGTCCACCTGTTGTGCACCCACGATGGACTTTAATACCAGTCGTGTCTGATGTAATTGCTCCAGCTGTATTTGATGGTTCTGGAGCGGAGTTTGGGGAGCAGGATTTTCAGCACATCAGCCCTTGGTGAATTAACCTTTCTTTGCATATGTACTTGCTACCTATTGATTCCTTTTGCTTTGGGTCACTTCTTCACTTCAAAAACTGTCCTCCACAATATGCACGTTGCTTTACTTTAAAGAAGGAATCAAATATATTTCAAAGCCTCTCAAAATCTCTATTGTAGGCAAATAGCTTATGTAATGTGAATATGCACATCTGTTCTGAAGATACAAGCAAATATTTGTAGATAGCATACAGATATCATGAGTTATGTATCTAAGAAAACACACATGAAGGGCCTCTGATATAAGGATTTTAACACATTTCAGATTTTAAAAATGTTCCCATTGATAACAATTAGCCAATACTTACTGAGTACTTATTGTGTATCAGGCATAGTTGCAAATGCTTTACATGTATTACTTCAATCAAAGTCAAACCTGTTTATTTAAAGCAGGTGTACACAAGGTCCCCCTATCTGAATATTTTGATTGACCACTCACCTGATTTATTTTTCAATTTTATAGATAGATGAGTTGTCTCAGTGATAATGCAGGACATGTGGATTCAGAAGGATCAGAAGGATGACTGAGTCTCTGCTTCACTTCGCAATGGGGCATGTGGCCCTGGCCAAACTGTTTAACATCTTTCAGAACCAGTTTTCTGTTTACTTCTTTATAAATGAAAGAACTGGGTTTGTCCCTGAAGTTTACTGAATTTCACTTCCTGTAGCTGTATAAGTGGAATGAAAGTACATGCTCTTAGTCTCCCATAAGGTTGGCTGGATGTTCAAATAAGATAATAAAATTGAATGCACATTTTAATTTTTAGAGTGAAATACTAATGATTATTTAGGAAGGAAAAACTGCCCAGAATTCAATCTAATTTTATGAGCTTCCAGAGACATCTGGAACAAAATAAATGCATCTTCATGTTGATTGGAGGATAAACATGTTAAAATAAAGAAGATATATATTTACATAAGTAGAGAAAGATAACTTGAAGCAGGATGTGTATGTAATTTGAGAATGATCTCTCAACATGTGTGAGCATAACTCAAGTTTACACCTTAATCCTCATATCCAGAATGCAAATCAGACTGAAGGATACTTTATGATATGCAAGTATTTTTAGCTGAACAATGACTTTTACCAATACTCGAATTGAAAGAGTTCCAGGCCGGGTGTGATGGCTCACTTCTGTAATCCCCGCACTTTGGGAGGCCGAGGCAGGTGGATCACCTGAGGTAAGGAGTTCCAGACCAGCTTGGCTAACATAGTGGAAGCCCGTCTCTACTAAATATACAAAAAAAAAAAAAAAAAAAATTAGCTGGGTATGGTGGCACATGCCTGTAATCCCAGCTACTTGGGAGGCTGAGGCAGGAGGATCACTTGAACCCAGGAGACGAAGGTTGCAGTGAGCCAAGATCACACCATTGCACTCCAGCCTGGGCAACAAGAGTGAAACTCCATCTCAAACAAAAAACAACAACAAAAAAAGAGTTCCAAACTATCTCCCGGTATTTGGAACACATTTCCTTGTTAGGCTAATATCAACCATCACTTCCAGATCTCAATGGGACACATCGCGAGGCCCTTAAGGGGCTGCAGACATCTGAAACCCAACTGTCACTGTCCATCTGAGAGTGACTGATGTGCAAGTGTCACACTGACATGCTAAATACATTTGTGATTGAGAGGTACTGTCTTAGGTAGGTTCACCCTGTACAAACACAGAAGGATGGTGATGAAATACAAGTTAAAATTTATAATTAAGTTCACTCAAATTATCCTTCTAATAATTTTTATTTGGCAAAAAACTAAAAAGGACTATAAAATTGGATTTAACATGTGTCTTAATTTAAAATAACTCAGATATACTCGAACTGTAAAAATCCAAAGAATTTATTGCATGCTGTCAACATGCCCTTCAAATTACTGAAGTTAATTATGTAAGATCATCTTTCCCTTATTCACAAGCACGGTTAAAAATATCAACTAAAGTGACTGAAGCATTGGCAATCCAGTGTTGCAAATTCCTTAGAGAACGTTTGCTTTTTACAAATTGCCATTTTACTTTATGTCATTTTGTACTTCTGATGTTATTGCATGGCAGGAAATTGACCAGACATCGCAGTGTTCTCCAGTGGGTGAAGGCTAATTCAATTAGTCACTGATTTGAAATGTCTGAGCAGATAAATTTGTCTTAAAAAAAAATCAGGGTTCATTCAAAGGAAGAGACTCCTTGTATTCGGAAAATAATTTTAAACACTATGAGCTGTTACTTCTCATTTGTTTGCAAAGAAGAGCACAGCAGTAAGTAAAAAATCAAAGTTGGATAATACTTAGGTTGAGTTTTTATCAATTATTCTCTTGTCTGTAGCCATTTCAGGCATTTTAAGTTGTCCTTCTCTGAACAATTAGTTTTAAGATATCCAAGTCTTCTGAAGAAAAAAACAATAATCACTGCCATGATAAAGCCATTTTGCCTATAATACATATTGATAAATAACTACATTAGTAAGCACTACTAAGGTAAGAGATGTTAAGTCTATTACCAGTGAATATATTAGGTGTTCTATGTACACACTCTCATGAAATTACTATTCCATACCTATCTCTAAATCTTAAGCCAATATTTTCCCCCATGCAAATTTGGAAATTCTTATTAACTATTTTTAATTTTAACAGAGTTGTAACAGTACCTATACTTCGGTTCTATGTTCAGTTCTTAAATGATTTTATTCTCTGGTTCTAATGAGCATGAATCTTGCATACATTTCTTCCTCAAATGTTAATAAGTCTGTGTGTGTGTCGTTCACATAGCATTAGTTCATCAATAATGAACTTCTTGTGTCATGTGACTTACGTAGCTAGAGAACTGTTAGAATTCACAGGGTCGACTGACCCAAAGTTTAAAAGGAAGTTGTAACAGTTGAGATGACAACTTTACAAGTCAAAGGATGTGCTGACTCCTGCAGTACCATACCGTGTGTGGAAGCAGAACATTTGAAACTTTCCAAAATGATTGAAAATGATGTATTTTTTTTTCTAAATAAAGACGATAGGTAGATATAACATGGTCAGAGATTCAAATTGGCATCATTTTATATAATTGAATCTGACAAATAAACCAAGCCAGCCAAATTAGAGTTCTTAGGTTAGCTGAGAAATATAATTTGTTTCATGATGGATTTCCATTCAAATATGAAAGAGAAGTGATTTTTATTAAGCAGCAAAAATACAAATGCCATACTTCTGAAATAGGATAATTTTTTCCAGATAATTAGATTTTTGGTATTTTAGAATCAGGGTTTTGATTCATTTTTAAAAATTCAATTTATATTATGGAGAGCTAACTACAAAGTCTGCCAATTTCACCAGTTATAAGTGTACAATTCAGTGACATTAAGAACATTCACAAGATTGTGTCACCATCACCACTATCCACGTCCAAAACTTTTTCCTTACCCCCAACAGAAAATCTGTAACTGTTAAAAAAAAATAACACCCAAGCCCCTGGTAACCACTATTGAAATAGAGCCATTTAACTGCAAAGACCTCTACTGCATAGATTAAGATATAGGAAAATGCAAAATGCAAAAACTAATTTCCACCTGCACTACTAAAAACCAATTAATATTTTTTATATATATTTTTTTCCGGGCCTGAACCAAAGGAGACTCTCCATAATCAGACCAGTTTCTCTCCCCTCCCTCAGTGCTGATTTCAAATATTCTATCAACAGCTAGTGTGGTTCAAAAGACTTAGCTATCTCTGCTTTCAAATACTAACCTCTACCAGTGGCAGCAGATAAACGTTTGCTGGTTTAGTTAACAGACCTTACCATGTCTCTTCTTTACCAAAAATAATAAAAATAAAAAAAGGAAAGTCTGGCAGTTGCATCTCTTCTGCCATTTCCCAACCAGAAGATTAGGATCTACTGCACACCGCTTAGTGCTACACACAAAGCATCAGTCTGTCTCTCGGGTTGCCACCAACTACTGCAATGCTCAGCCCAAACATTTTGTCATTCTCTCCATCACTCCATGAATGTTCAAGCCCCTGTGCTTTTGCACATAGGTTTTTATGAAACCAAGATACTGTCGCTTCTGGAAAGCCACTATTCACTCTCCAGAATTCATCCTGAATGCCACCATGTAGGTAAAGTGTTGACAGCTCACTGACCTGGTGGTTGCTTTTATAATTTGCAGGACGAATGGATATGTACCTTATTGTACTTTATTATACCATTATCATGGGATTGCGTGTGTGCGTGTGTGTTGGTCTCCTGCTCACTGCTATGCTAGTGACTTGTACAACAAACCTAATGCTTAGTAAGTTAATGTTCTATAAGAATTACTTAGGCATTTTCAATTTGCTAGGGCAAAATATTTTACATAGACATTATTAAATATCAGAATATTGGCATTTCCTTATATAATGAGGAAAGCATTGTACCCCAGATAAAACGAGATGGGGATGCTCTTGCCAAGATCCAGTAGGGCAAGTTAGCATGCATCATCTATAGGAGCCAGTTCACAGAAAATCTTTCTATTCATATTCATTCATTCTCTCTCTCTCTTTCTGTCTCCATCCATTCCTCCACCCAAGTAGAAGACAGGCCAGTGTCTAGGAAATAATATTACTCTTATCTCACAACAGCTCAGTTCTATTTTTATCTCAAAAAGCCAGGTTTTATTCAAATACACATAGGGCTGTGCTTTTGAACATGTTGTTCATTTTGAGCCCATTGATTTCGAGGTGTGTCAATATTTTGGGGACTTGGAGGGAAGATTCCTGCGGCTGGCTTTCTCTTCCACACTATTGCACTATGCTCCACTGTTTTGATTTCCTGAGAAGACAATGAGGCTGCTATGTGGAACTTTAACACTACCTAATTTAATTGTTTTTCTCAGGCAGTAGTGAATTTTCTCTCTCTTTACTTAAACAAGTAGGATATAGTGTCACTACGAGTGTATCAAAATAAAGGTAGTTTAGAGTTTGAGTTTGAAGTATACTACGGTTAAAACTGGATGCAAACATGAAACATTTGTGTATTTTACATACGTACCATGCCTTCCATGGTCCGTATATTAATTATTTCTGCAATACCTAAAAATTGAAATGCAAATGAATGTCCAATAATAGCACACAGAAATGACAAAAGTATTCAGTTTCACATAAAAATAATATATAAAGTAATTGTATGTAAAAATTCTATACACATTTAGAAGGCATATCCTACTTTATTATTGGAGGTACACAGTGTAGAGGGAGAACTTGACTTCAGACTCGAATCTTGTTTCTTACTCTGCCATTCATTCACTTTGGGAGCTGAGTAAGTTGTGAGTCTCTTTGATCTGCCTGTAAGTGATAGATCATTTGTCTGTAAAATGGGAATAAGTAAATGTGGCAAGGGGATGTGTATTAAAGTACCCAGAACAAAAAGATTCAAAAATGGTATCAGCTTTTATGCTAATGTTATCATTATTTTTATCTTCATCAACTTTACAAACATAATTCATGAAAGATGTTTATGTGACCAAAATGACATCGGTCATTTATGAGCTCCATTATAACCCCATTCTCATGGAATAGAGGTTTCTTCTTAAACTATATGATATATTATGGTAACTTTGGACAACAGGTGGTATGAACAATACTAATGATCTTGATTTTTTTTTACCAGAAATATCTCTACTCTTTACAATGATAGGAAGCTTGTGTGACTTAAACACATCATAAAAACACTTAAATAAAAAGTTATAAATAAATAGCCTGACAAATGCTATCTTAACTCAGGACGTGGATTCTGAAAGAGCAAGTGTGCCTGCCGTGGTTCTTTTTTTGACAAAACCAAACAAGGGTCTTAATTTTCCAACTACAGAATCTCAAAACCAGGTAATACCCTAGCTCTAGTCATCAAAATCAAAGTATGGTAGATTTTGAAAATTTTTTCAGTATTTTATTAAGAAAGGAAAGTAACGAAGTGCTTTTTATGTAATAAAGGTTGGAGTTACCTTACAATTCCTTGTTAACATATGATATCAGTGTGTTTACAGAAGAATAATAAGAGTGTTATTTATGGTCCTTTGTAGAGAAAAATCTAGTTATTCCAGGGTAAGAATTGACTTAGTCTTAACTAACTTTGGTCTTAACTATGTCTGTGACTTTTTTTGGATCTCATTTTTTTCATATACCAAATTCAGACTTCAAACAATCTGAACCCTGGGGTCCCTTCCAACTCTCATAATCTATAGTTTTTGAACTCAAAAACAAAGCATATGCTGACATAATGATATTAATGATATCCAGTACCTTTAAGTTGATAAAGTGGTTAAAAATTATTTTATATAAGCCTCTTATAAATGCTCTCAACATGGATTTTCTACACATTCATGCTTAAATCATGAATTAACTCTGATACTAAAAAATAATCTCAACAACTCTATGGTAAAATAGAAAATACTTATAAAGAAATGTTTAGAAGAAACTCTTTTCTCTAACACTACAATAATTCAAGTTTCCATAATTCTAACCTTCTGAAAGGAAAGCTGGCAGACAGGTGGTATTTGCCATAATTATTATAAAACTAAGGAAATGATGAAGAATTTATTTTTATCTGACATAATTTCTTGAGTTTTAAGCCAGAAATATATTTAGCAGTAGGCTATGTTTACCACACATTCAAAGACTATGATTTCTAATTGCAAATGCATGCATCAAAATGTATAGTCTTATTCTTACTTCCTTGCACACATATGACTGAGAACTATTCTGAAATATATATATATATATATAATTTGCTTCTATGATTACATTCTTCATATAAATATTACCAACTTTTATGTCCTAATTCCTCTAAAATTAATACAATTCTCATTATTATAAGTAGAAATATAGAATTTAAAGATAAGTTGATTTGTCTCATTAATTTTAATTCAGGAAGAAATGGACTGTAATCCCCTTTTAGCTCAGAAATAGTAGTAGGTGATGACTTAGGACATTTTCTATAAAATAAACTCATTGGGAGCAAACATCATGCATTTGAAGGATAATAAACAGGTGTTAGTGATCAACATTTATCTTCAAAGCAGCAGCCAACAATTGAAGAAAGTCTTAAAGAAGTTTAGGGAAAAAGCCAAGGTGAAGAGGTAAGCGATACCATACCCGTTTTCAAGTATGTTCAAGCCTATCTGATAAAAGAAAGAGTAATATCGTTATACGCTGCCCCTGTAGGTAGAAATGAGACCACACACGTAGAAGTTATAAAAACAGAGACTTCAGGCTTAGTACACAAAGATGGAAATTTTTGTGTCCTGTAAGAGTCACAAAACCATGGAATGGGACACTGATATTGTTTTGCTCTGTCACCACCAAAAATTTCATCTTGAATTGTAATCCCCTACTCCCGATAATCCCCAAGTGTCAAGGGGGAGACCGGGTGCAGGTAATTGAATCATGGGAGCAGTTCCCCCCATGCTGTTCTCATGATAGCAAGTGAATTCTCATGAGATTTAATGGTTTTATAAGTGTTTGGTAGTTCTTCCTGTGTTCATTCTCCTTCCTGCCATCTTGTGAAGAAGGTGCCTGACTTCCCCTTCACCTGCCATGATTGTAAGTTTCCTGAAGCCTCCCAGCCATGGGGAACTGTGAGTCAATTAAATATCTTTCCTTTCTAAATTATCTCACCTCAGGCAGTTCTTTATAGCAGTATGAAAATGAACTAATACAGACACTAAGCAATATTCAAAGACAAATCGTTGACTTTCCTTCAACAACCCTGAATTTAAAACTTTTGCTTTAGGTAAGAAATATTGTTTGAGTTTTGAAGATTACCAACACATTTTCCAGCTATCTAAATGACAGGCATCATGAAGTTAGGAGCTAGGTGTTGTCTTGTTAATTGCTCTATTTCCTGAATATTGCCCAGTATCTGGAATGAAGTGAAACTGCATAATTACCTGCTAAATGAACATAGGTACTGGGACCTACCTTGTGGAGAGTACTCTTGAAAATACTGTAAGTTAACTCTCCAGCATAGCCGTCATTTTAAAAATTAAAAATCACTTGGACTTTCTGTGTGATTTGATCCCATCGTTTTATATTTTATATATTTTAAAAGATGTAGTAAAGAAGGTAAAATAATGCATAGAACCTCAATTATAAGAGTGCTTGGGCAATCAAAGGAAACTCATGCTACTGTATAGGTATTAAATATAAAACACACCAAGAAATATGCATTAATTATCCAATATCTTGCAGAACACTTTATTACTTTTTAGTGCCTTTTTGGTTCCTCTCATCATATTATTGAGAGAAAGCATTTTCTTGGAATTTAAAATGCTTGAGGGCAGGGACTTTATCTCATTCGCTTTAGGTACATGATAACTGCACAGGCCTTGACTTATAGGCGAAGTCAATAGAGTTCATTGAACAAACATTTGAAATCATTTCAGTGATTTTTGTGAAATTTACTTATAAATACTATTTGCTTGTCCTGAAGCATTACTTTCCCCAGTATGGGTTTTAGAACATTTTCTAGCTCTTAAATTATACATTTTCATTTGATAAAATAAAAAATAATACCATAGAAACTTTGTTGAATTCTATAGAATCCTACAGTTTACTTCAGCTTAATGTAGTAAAGACTCAAAAACATCTCTGCAATCAAACATAAAATTGACTTAAAGTGTTCTCTAATTTCGTATCTCTACAAATCTTCCAAATGCCATTAAGTACACTCTATTGAAGAATAATACCCATTCATTATCCTGACCATAAGCAGAGCTCTTCAAGGCTTATGTTGTGATAATAGACTTGCTGATGTGCATTTATTTATTTTTTATTCACCCAAAGATGTAAAAGGGAAACTTAGAATTTTATGTAATAACTTAGCTGTTCCTGAACTGAGTATAGGTATAGGAAAACCCATTATTCCTTTCAAATCAACGTGACAAATCCAACACAATCACACCTGGCTGAAAACATTTTTCTCCAAAGTCTGTCTGTTTCTTGGAATAAAAAGGAAAAGTAATTTTTACAAAGCTAAGTCACTTAATAACAAGCCATCCAAAGCAAGAAAGTTTTAGATTAGCCTCTCTGGAAATTATTTTATTTACTTATTTATTTTAGACAGAGTCTCACCCTGTTGCCCAGGCTGGAGAGTAGTGGTGCGATCTTGGCTCACTGCAATCTCCGCCTCTTGGGCTTGATTCTTCTGCTTCAGCCTCCCGAGTAGCTGAGATTACAGGCACATGCCACCACACCCAGCTAATTTTTTTTTTTTTTGTATTTTTAATAGAGATGAGATTTCACCATGTTGGCCAGGCTGGTCTTGAACTCCTGACCTCATGTGATCCACCTGTCTCCACCTCCCAAAGTGCTGGGATTACAGGCGCAAGATTTTATTTTTGAAGAGCACAGTCTCACAATGTCTCACATGTCGGTTAGCACTTAGCTGCAATATTAAAAGTTTCCCTTGATTATCTCCAATATTTATATTTGGAGTTGAGATATATTTAAATTTTTGACAGAATTTTAGCAGACACAGGCTATATATAAATCACTACATGTTGATGGAGAATGATCATTACATGAAAATTATTTTTAACATAATAACGTGAGAGTTAGTTCAGGCATACAATCTTTGAAAAAAGATTGGAGTCGACGTTTTATGTATAACAAACATCAACATATATATTTTTAAAATTCTGTATATAATAGCAGGAATATGCAGTTGGAAGGCATGTACAAATAATGGTTAGACTCAGAGACCTAAGAGTAAGACAGATGTCGAAGGATAACACCTTTGGTCTTTGCTCTGCAATCCACAATATCTGACTAGAAGGTGATTTTTTGAGCCTCAAATCTTTGTCAGGAAAATATGGGATGATAAAATACAGTATTGAGCTGTCTCCCAATGATGATGTATGTTATTAAGCATTATAACTATGTTGCAACTGTATCAACTTTCACACAAAAAAACTATGATGGTTTATGTTGATATACTGGGGTTTAAAGAGAGAGACAAAGAATTATTCGACAATAGATTCAAGTCGAAATTTTATATATGTTAGTCTGTGAGAAAATGGATGTTTTTTTCTAGAGCTCTACTAGAAGGCATTCACATACAGCAGGCTGGGGAAAGAGGCTTCTCCCCAAAATCTGCAATAAACATTTATCTACCAAGAAGGGCTAGGTCCCCATAAAAAAGATAATCAATGTGACCTAGTGGTTCCAGCAAATTAAGAGGGAACCAAGGTCCTACTGTTTTTAATTCACCACGGTGACTTTTCTTTCCAAAGTTATGAAAATATCAGAAAAAAAGTCTCCAAGGATAATTAATTTCAACTTACGCTTATTAAAGAGAATATCTGCTGTATATCATTTGAAGAGAGACTGTAGATTATTGAGTTAAAAGCATTGGCAATAAGAAAAGAAAAAGAATAATTGCACACATAGCAAGTATTCCTTTTACTTCCTGGCTGTAAGCGGCCTTATTGAATGTGGGCTACTTTGCTTTAACCTTCTAAGTATGTATTCATCAATCTGATAGCCACTAAAAACAGAAGTCAAGTTATGTCAGGGCTGAAAGCAAAAGGCCAAATCACTTATTTTTCAGATGAAGGAAGTGAAGCCCAGGAAGGTCCCAAAACTGGAATACAGTGGAGTTTGGACTAGAAACCCCATCCTGTAGGCTCCAGGTACAAGTATTGCATCCGAACAAAACAGGTGTTACTCTGAAGTGAGGTAACGGTAATTCAAGAAGTAGGCAAAGGGCTATTACCATTGTGAGCTCTTCAGGGTTTCATCTGATGTGCTGAGACAATGAAGACACGGCCAACTGTTTCCATAATAACCACTATGACCAGTTGTGGAGGAGTCATGAATAGTGTATGCATTTTTTTTGCAATAATAGAAAAAAACCCAGCAGATACTACTTATGAAACTCAGCACTCTAAGATAAACCAATTAGAGGATTAAATAGTATTTCCTATGTTGCTCACATTGGCCATATGTGATAAAACATAATTTTATTTACTATGAGAAAATCTGCTTGAAAAAGAAATAGGTGTACAACAGACACTCAACCCTTTCTGGTTTGGACTGGAGCTTTTGTTTACTTGCAGGTAATAATTTCTTAAGCATAAGTGTCAATAATTGGTTGACACATGTTCTCACCTATTACTGGGATAAACATTGGATAAATATGGACATAAGGGAAGAACAGACACTGGAGAATCCTAGAGGGAGCAGAGAGACAAGGGCTGAAAAACCATCTATTGGACCCTAACTCACTGCCTGGGTGACAAGAGTATCCATACCCCAAACCTCTGAGTTAAGCAATACACCTGCGTAACAAGTAATAATTTATTTACAAATGTATGGAGTAGCTACCTCAGAAGTTGCAGCTGTTCCTTCTCTCAGTTTCTTTCAATACATCTTAACATAATTATCTTATCTATTTACATACTACATTAAATTAATGAAGGCATTTTAATGAAATATAAAGAAAGTTTGTTCTTAAATACAATTTTGACAAAAAATACAAAAACTGACTTCACAATGCTCCTATAATATTACGTTGTTTTTTATCCTTACCTCTGTGGCATGCCTAGCATTCAATACTTACAAAATTATTGGGACTGATTTGTTGTTAGTATGTCCAAAATAATGCAACAATTTATAAACAGCTTAAAGACAAGCACATTGTGTGCTAAACTCATTTGCTATGACCCTCGTCCACCCTAAATAGGATGAGAAGGTATTTTACTCCAGCATTTTTATTTGTTTTAATATACCCCATGCCATGTCCAGCATGTCCTTGCTGGAAATGAGCTTCACTTTCATGGCAAATGTGATATGGTAGGTATATGACACATCACTTCCTCTCACTGATATTTTTATTAAATATTCATTTAAGTAAGTGCCACTTTGGGGCAACTGTGCTTAAAGAAATATAGAGGGACATTGCTGGTCAGCTATAAACATAAAAAAAAATCCTCCAGAGCATCAAGTGTGTTCTGAAGCAGTGGAATGAGGGCAGATGCTGTTGTCTTTCTCTCCTAATAGAGCAATTTGTCAGATGTCTCCCATGTGTACTCGAACTGACCATATTATGTGTTGGCAAAATGCTCATTTTTATACAGCTTTTAGTATCAACAGTTATATTGGCGTTTCTCTCAAGATGGAGCACATTTATATCAACAGCTGGCCTTAAAATGTTCCTATAGTAATGATCATTTGTTTTGAACTTTTCCTTGTTAACTATTTTCTGTTTATATTAATTTATATTTAATTGAATACATATTCCCTTCAATAAAAGCCAAGTGAGAGCAAAACTCTTTCTGCAAAGGTAAGACTGAACTTAACATTCTTCCTGAAATAAGGCAAGAAGGGTTATACGCCCTTCTAACCTTGATTGAAAACGCAGCAGCACTTACCCCAGGCCCACTGAGCAGCTCTCCTCATGGCACAAGTTGAAAGGATTTCAGGCTGGAGGAGACTGTTGTGTGTGAGGGGTGGGTGCATGTCCACGGACTCATGCACATTGGGAAAGAAGGTCTCATCTCTTCTGGGCTTTCTTCACATTGGCATGAAAACGTAAATTCACAGAGCTCCCTTTGAGAGGGAACACAGCGCACAGTGGCTGGCTCCAGCCCGCCTTTGGGTGGATCTCACTGAAATCACTCTCCTGAACACGCACCCACCCACAGCTGCTGCCTTACCCCACGTGCAGACCCAGATGCCTCACTAGTTGACATAATTGTTAAGTGAGCGCCTCCTAAGGAGGTCCCATTTGAAAACTAAGTCACTAAGCTACAAATTAGGTTGCAGGCAGGTTCACCTGCTAGAGATGAATGCATTGAAAGTGAAAGACATTTGGCATACTGCAGCGCTTTTACTGAATAAGTATAGGGCTGGCCTGATAGGAATTGACTAAGCACAGTGGAAGAAGACCCATCATCAATACTTAATCAACTCATTCATTCACACATTCGAAGGTGTCCAATACCCAAGACCTCACAAGCTATTTGTTGCTGAGGGTCCTGCACAGGTGCTGTATTTACGAGGTTTCCCTGTTGATGTGTGCTTGGCCACAATCGATGTGAGAGAGATACACATTCACTTTTACAGCCAGACTCAGCATACCTGACTTTGAGAAGTGTGTATCTCGATCATGGCCACGTGAGTTCTGGGTAGCCTATTCCAAAGGTCTCAGTCACGTGGCCCTGGAAGAAACATCTAATTTTCATGTCATAATTTGGGATTTATTTTTATATTATAACTTGGGATCTCACAGATAGAGACCCAACCTTTTAAGATATAATTGCAGGTGTTCAAAGGGGGGACAGGCAGGTGGAGGTATAGCAGCTTTTTCAACTCAAGGGTCCCTCTAATTTGAGTCAGGACACTCTAATCTTGGAATCTAAAGCCAGAAGGAAAAAGCCAGATCACACTGACTGCCTTAACATTATTAAGCCCTCTATGTTTAGTTTGGGTGGAGGGTATGTTTAAGTCAAAGAATTGGGCCCTACTTATGTTAAAGATGTTAATAAACCCAGCATCTTTGATTTCACTAACCGCTCCTCACCTTGAAAAAGCTAACAGATTTACTATATTGCCAAGTAAATAAATTAACTATGTTTTTCAAATGGCTTCACTGGGAATTCACACCATTTAAAACACTCAAAAGTAGCCTCTGGTGCTTTTTTGAACAAAAGTAAGCAGTTAGAAAAATATATGGGCCAGACACGGTGGCTCATTCCTGTAATCCCAGCACTTTGGGAGGCCAAGGGGAATGGATTACTTGAGGTCAGTAGTTCGAGACCAGCCTGGCCAACACAGTGAAACCCCGTCTCCACTAAAAATACAAAAATTAGCTGGGCATGGTGGCAGGTGCCTGTAATCCCAGCTACTCGGGAGGTTGAGGCAGGAGAATCGCTTGAACCCAGGAGGCGGAGGTTGCAGTGAGCTGAGATTGTGCCACTGCACTCCAGCCTGGGCGACAGAGCTATTGGGAACAGTCAGCACAAAGACATTAGGATCTTTAGAAAAAATAACTCTGGAGAAAGTAGTAGCAAACCTTAAAAATCTACTTTGAAGAGCAAAATTTCCTATTATTTCCTCTCATCGTTCTTTTCATAGTCACTTCAAATTTCCAGGCCTTCCTGGTGTTAAATGATGTTAAAACACGTCTTTTCTACCTGACTCTACTGAGTCTCTAATTGTATTCAAGCTAAATTTCATGTACAAGTTCAAATGATGAACTAGGAGGACACATCTCATAGAACTGAGAGTCTAATTTTTTTTTAGTTGCAGTAATAAAATAGCTGCTCACATTTATTTAAGCTTAGTAAGAGCCATGCGTGGTTCTATGCTTTTTACATGTGTTTCTTCTTGTAATCCTTATGATATTGAGCACAGTTGACATTCCCTTTGTAAAGACAAAGAAACCAAGTGTCAAGAAGTTTAACATTTTCCACGGCCACACTATGAGGAGGAGAGACGGAACTCGAGCTTACTTAGCCGTATAGCAGATGCCGTCAAAGGTACCTTTAGAACACTTGAGTGTGTGAAAGCTAAGGGAAATTATTTCTATCATAAGATACTCACTGTCTACCTAAAGAAGGAGCTAGTTTTCACTTTTTTGAAATCATTTTTTCCTTCAATGTATTTAAATCATTAAGAAATCTAAAAATGCAATTGTCTAATTGTTCTAATTGGAGCAGTCCTCACAAAATATGTTGGTGTGGTGAAAATGTGTTTAGTTCTTCAGAATTAAATATTCTGTAGTGACAAATATACAGATCAAATCATATTGATATAAAACATATTAACTAGTTGGCCACGCGTGGTGGCTCACGCCTGTAATCCCAGCACTTTGGGAGGCTGAAGCGGGTGGATCACTAGGTCAGCAGATCTAGATCATCCTGGCTAACACATTGAAACCCCATCTCTACTAAAAATACAAAAAAATTAGCCAGGCGTGAAGGTGGGCGCCAGTACTCCCAGCTACTGGGGAGGCTGAGGCAGGAGAATGGTGTGAACCTGGGAGGCGCAGCTTGCAGTGAGCCAAGATAGTGCACTGCACTCCAGCCTGGGCGACAGAGTGAGACTCCATCCCAAAAAATAAATAAATAAATAAATTAAATAGTTAACACAATGTTATCACAACCATGCATTTTTTACCTCAAATAAATTATCGTTACTTCCTATACAAAGCAATAAAACCCTGTAACACGCACACACAGAGAGTTCTGTGTCACCAGTGACAGCTCTCAGCCATCTCCTGAGCTTCGAGGTTGGATACTGTGCTTATCCAGCTGCCTGGGTAATCTTAAGTTTAAGCCCAGAACTTTCCTAGCATGCTGCTCTTCCCAGAGTGTAGCCACAAGGGCTGTGTGCCTATTACATTAGGAGAGAATCAGTGCCTCAGTTGCACTTAGAGCCCCAGCAAGGAGCAATAGAGGCGGAGTGAGATGGAGAGGCAGGTCTGGTCTTGTGTGTGTGGGAAGGAAGGAGTTTGTCAGGCGAGGAGGCTTTCAAGAGGCCTGTGGGCCTCCTGGGAGAAACACTGTAAAATGAAAGGAGAATTCCTTAGACTGAGCTCTGCCTTTTGGGTGAGATATTGAAATCCTCTGGACAAAAATAAATGAGAGACTTGAATTTGTGAACTGGAAGGTCACTTTGAATTCAAAAATCTTATCTAGCCAGGCATGGTGGCTCACGCCTGTAATCCTAGCACTTTGGGAGGCCAAAGTTGGTGGATCACTTGAGATCAGGAGTCCAAGACCAGCGTGGACAACAGGACAAGACCCTGTCTCTGCAAAAAGCTACACCAAGTGAGCTGAGTGTGGTGGCATGGGTCTGTAGTCCCAGCTACTTGGGGGCTGACACGGGAGGATCACTTGATCCCAGGAAGTTGAGGCTGCAGTGAGCGAAGATCGCACCACTGCACTCCAGCCTGGGTGACAAAGTGAGACTGTCTCGAAAAAAAAAAAAACTTATTATCTATCTGTACTTTGCCCAGCAACATGGACTAGTATGAGCAACTTGTCCTTTTCTTCAATTTTTTTAAATTTAACAATTATTATTTCACTTAGAGAAGGTTGACATAGTTAGAAGAAACCAAACAAGATTCAAGCGTGAACACCATGATGCGTGCATCTTTGCAGATATTTCCCATGTGTGTACAAGTAGCCTGCCTTTTCTGTACCTGAAAATGGGATCAAAATATAGATATTATTTGAAACGTTCAACTGAAAACGCTTTACCATGGAAACACATTCATGAAGGCAGTACAGTGTGTCATACAACAATCTATTTGGCCATTTTAGGATGGTAAACATTTAAGCTCTGTCCAACTTTTCAGTATGAGAGAGGGGGCTACAGTGAAGAAGCCCCTACTGGAGCAGGATGTATTAACTCTCTAGATTGAAACATCTGATAATTTAGAATTTGACTGATAGGACCGAATTATCCCCTCCCCTCATTTTTCTAGATATCCAACAAGAGTATAAGGGAGTGTCCTCTCTGTGCACAACCAAAACCTGATATCATCAATTAGAGTTTCACAAATGCACTGGGGAAAATGACAATGTTTAATGCACTGCTTTCAATCAATTATACACTTGGGAATCTTTTCCTACATTTATTATTTATGTTTGTTCTTCCTATAAAATACCTATTTGTACTTAATGGTTGCTAAGCTCTTTGCTGACTGTGAGATGATCTTTTTATATTACTTTTCTAGAAGAGTGTGTGGTGAACAGACTCTTAGGGGGCCATGCGGCACCCCCACCTGCTGATGTCCGTGCCCTAGGGATCCTTTTCTCCTTGAGAGTGGGCAGGACCCGTGGCTTCCTTTCAACCAACACAGCAAACTGACAGTGATAGGCTACATGTGATTATGTGTACAGGATTATGTGATTACATATGGAATTGTAGCACTCAACTGTGGAGTCTCCCTCTCACCCTCTCTCTCTCCCCCAACCCCACTCCTAACCTGGTTTGAGCCATGCTAGGAAGTCCCAGGTGACAACCGTGTGTGGCCCCCAGGAACTGATGGTAAACTCTGGCCAAAAGCCAGCAAAAAACTTAATGCCTCATTCCTACAACTGCAAGGAACTGAATTCTGCCAGCTGCCCAACTATCTTAGAAGTGGATTCTACCCCAGCTGAGCCTCAGGTGGCAATGAAGTCCCAGCCAACACTTGATGGCTGCTTTGTGAGACCTTAAGCAGAGACCCAGCTAAGCTGCCAAGCCATGCACAGACCCCTGACCCACGGAAACTATCAGGTAATGCATGTGTGCTGTTTGAAGCTGTTGCGTTTGCAATAATAATGTTACAACACAGTAGTTAGCTAATGCAAAAAGTATTCAAATGGGAGATTGCTCCCCCAATCTGTCCTTCTATGTAGCTCTGTTTTCTAGCTCTTGAGTTGTTCCTGGTGGCATCTGGTCCTGCGGAGAGGATAAACCTGGGTAACAGAGAATGCTATAAAATTATCTTGCTACAAATACTGTTGGCTTTCTGTCTCTCTCCCTCATTTGGAGACAAAGAACGGGTATTGTCATTAAAGGCATTAAAAAGTGGCTCAAATCTCTTCTTCTGATTTTGAAGCTACAGTAAATGACACCACATCTTTAACTTAGGTACTTCTTTCTTTCTCATAGGTTCTATTCTTAAAATATAAAAGGTAAGAAGAAATGATAGTCACTTCAACTTGTCATATAACACTTTACAGTATTTTTATATGGACTCTTTTTAAAAGACCTATCATTGTCCATCCATCATAAAAACTGAAAGAAAAACACATTTGCTAGGAGATATAGATCATACCCCAAAGTTCGGCTTGGCTATACTTTTTATACTTTCAGTTCCGTAGACGCCTCAGCTTTTCAACACCCTGACGACATGCCCCTTCCGTGTCTCTTGTTGCCAGCAAAGAATGCAGGAAAGGTAATTTTGTAACTGCAGTTGTAAAAGAAAGAGACTGATTAGCTCTTCTTTGTTCCATAATCCTCTAATGTAATTCTTTAAAATTAAAAAGCGGAGAGATAAAATAGTCATGAAGATCAAAATGACAATTGAAGGCTGGCATATCTGCTGAACAAGCTCTAATATTAAATTATTGTCACCAGAAGAAAAAAATGCAAACATCTCAGATAACTTACTCAGTATACAAAGAAAAACAGTCAAGAAACAGAAACACAATTGAATCAAATAAGCATGGCAAAATAATATCTTGAATATAGGGTTTCAAAGCTAATTATGTTGACAAGTTCTAGTCTCAGTACATGAGTCAATAAGCAGGCACAGTGACTGGAAGAAATCTTTACCAACACCTTCCCTAGGTCAACTCTTCAACGAGTGTTTTCACAAAATGTTGATGACAAATTAATTTGAACTCACTAAAAATAATGGCTGGAATCAAGTATATTACATAGACTGAGAACATTTATTTATTTATTAAAGAAACAGTGAATGTGTAAGAAACCAGAATGATGCTTGGATACTTGCAAGAGTGCCCTTCAGTTCTCCAGGACTTTAAGATTTATGAAGTCCAAACAATGTAAACAAATGAATGAAAAATCAGCAAGCAAGAATAACACTTTTTGTTTTTTGAAATGGAATTTCACTCCTGTCGCCCAGGCTGGAAGGCAGTGGTGCAATCTCGACTGACTGCAACCTCTGTCTCTAGGGTTCAAGCGATTCTCCTGCCTCAACCTCCCATGTAGCTTGGATTACGGGTGCCAGCCACCACACCCAGCTAATTTTTTTTTTCGTATTTTTGGTAGAGACGGGGAAGAACAACATTTTTTAAAGGACCCTAAACCTACAGTTTCCTACATCATGACTAATAATTTTTAAACATAGTAACTGACAAAAAAATTAGATCAAGGAGAGATTGGGTGATCAACATATGATAGAACTAGAAGTGGACTCAAAGATGGGTGGGCTTGAGATACATGGAAACAAAGCTCAAAGTTATGGTCGATGAGGTGGAATAGAAAACTCCTCAATGGCGAGAAAACTGAAGGTATAGTTAGGGTGTACCTGGCCTGGCTGAATTGGAAGTCACAAGGGCAGATTTGAAAAGACTGATTATGGAGGACTTTGAAAGTCAGTTTGGGAGAGAGATGCTGTACCCTACAGAGAAAAGCATGTACAGTACTTAAGAAAACAAGATACATGGCCAGTAAATCAAAAACTGCTTTTCTTTCCACACTCAGTGTCCTGTTGGTATTACATCCTGGAGGTCATTAGAAAAACTCCAGAACAGCAAGAGTAACCATCACAGGACTTGAAGGGAAAATGTTTAAAAATGTCTAATGTTCTAGCTTCCAATAAGTAGATGATGTTCAAACAAACATATGACCCCTTGGCTGCATGAGAGTAGAAAGGAGCAAGGCCTAACATAAGTTGCATATAAATCTGCATATTTCAGGGACTAGTCCCATGACAGTAGTGTACGCTTCCGATCCGACCTTCAGCTTTAAAGAGCAATGAATCAATGTCTGAGAAGGGTGGCCCTGAGCATCAGTGTTTATAGGACCATTTACCTGCTTGACGTTTCAACTGGCCCTCACTGAGCTAATGAAAAACACAAAGTTTTCTTGTCTGTTCTCCGGCTGCTTCTCCTCAACATCCTCATCTTCAGTTCATGATGTTGTTCCTGTTCCCTTCCTCCTCCATTATTTGACATAGATTAGGGTAGTCATAGCCTTTTGTAAAGGGGAATGAACTTGCCAGATAGATGGAGAGAACAAACCACTTGACTGGGCACAAAGCACAACCACTTCTATGTGGGTAGAAGATCCTGCAGCAAGGAGGATGAACAGCAGAAGGAAAAACCCCCAGATTCTTGCCAGAACAGAAACCCATACTTAGTGTCCTTGGGCTGACCTGTTCTAACTGGAATAGTAAAAAACACACCCCTGGGTGGAGATCTAAGATGCTAGTGAGCCATGTGATATATGTGCTAGCATGCAGAGCAGTGGCACATATGCATCCGGAAGACCACTGGCAAAGTCAAAATGGAAACTCCTAGAAAGCACTCAGAGATTCATCCTCTTTGTTAAAAATGTGATGTAGCCATGGAATACCATGCAGCCATAAAAAAGAACAAGATCATGTCCTTTGCAGGGACGTGGGTGGAGCTGGAGGCCATTATCCTTATCAAACTAATCTAGGAACAGAAAATCAAATACCACTGTTCTCACTTATAAGTGGGAGCAAAATGATGAGAACACATGGACACATAGAAGGGAACAACACACACCGGGGCCTGTCAGAGGGTGGTGGGTGGGAGGAGGGAGAGGATTAGGAAAAGTAACTAATGGATACTAGGCTTACTACCTTGGTAATGATATAATCGGTACAACAACCCCCCATGACACACATTTACCTATGTAACAAAACTTCATATCCTGCACATCTGCCCTGGAACTTAAAAGTTTTTTTTAAAAAAAAATGTGGTGTAGGTGAATAGGAAGGGCCCATGCGTTACAGTTATACTGAACTGAGTGATTCTGTTTGGCACATGCCATAATTCTTTAGGTGAGCAAAATTATGAGTATAATCCTTTTCAAGAGTCAAGTCTTCCCAATTCTCTTCCTATCCCCAGTCATCATTGTTAAGGATCATATCAGACTAAAAATGTGTATATCTTCCCTAAATCACAGTAGTTCTACCCAGATCACATTAATCAATAAAACTAATTCCACCTAACAGTAACAAGATGACTATTCTCACCTGAATTTCCCTTGATATTATTTATATTTTTTAAGTATGGGGCATTACATTCAAAATCTGTATTGTTTCCATGTAAAATGGAGCATGGATGTTGAACAAGTGAACTGCAACCTCATGAATATAGCTGAAACCATAAGACAAAAACAAAATACCCTCACAGATGGATTGGTCTTATGTTGTCCACAGGAATTCTATTTTATGAAGAAAGGGGAAAAGAGACACAACAAGAATTGCAAGACATTTGGAGTGCGCAGAAATTGTCTGATGAATTGTTAGTTTCTTGTAAAAATGTGACTCTTCTTAGTTTGCCAAGGTCTCTCTTCTTTTTGTGAAGTGCCGATCATACTCTGCAATGCTCGACTATCCCAGCTGTATTATACATCAAAGTACACTACTTTCCTACCAAATAAAAGGGATAGTTTGAAATGTGGTGACTAAAATTGTTGATGGACTTTGAACATTCATAAGGCCCATCCTTTGAGATAAAAGTGAAGATAGACTCTAACTTCAGTGGAATCCACCATTTTCACAGGAAGTGAAAATTTACTCAGAGCGCCGCCAGGAAAGATTTTAGGAACCACAGTTATGTCACTAACTATCAAGGAGGTGTAATTTTATAGAAAAGGGAATGATGAGAGTCCCCGACATCCTTTACAGGAATATCAACTTCAGGTAGAAGAAAATTACTCATTTGTTAGAGATCAATGAAGACACTTTCTGTTAAAAAAGAAGAGGAGGAAAAAGTTTCTCTAAATAGAGGCATAGACATTCTTCAGTCATCTTGAAAATGACTGCCTGCAATTTATAATTAATTTCAAAGGTTTTTCATTCATCAGAGATCACTCTCCAAATAATTCAAATTTTAATCTAACATTTAGCCCTTTCTTATATAACACGAATGATATCAGAGTATACTAAACAGTAAAAGAAAAAAAATAATTCACTCGAACAGTATTTTTATATGAAAGAGCATAATTATCCCCTGAAGTCTCCCCATAATATAAACATTATGGACAAGGAGCTTGAATCTCTGTTTTGTTGTAAAACTATTAAAAAAAAGAAGATTAGACAGCATTGAATGATGGATACCGATAATAGAGGCACTGATGATAAAGAAGAAATCTTCTGAATTAATTGCACAATTTCATAGTATAGTATATTCTTCATGAAATCAGTGTGAGCTAAATGGTCTGTGAAAGATTAGTGAAAACGTTATTAGATTTTGATCACTTTTATTGAAAGGAAGGTAGAGAGATGACAGATTGATAGACTCTACCTATCTATATTTAAAATATATAATACATAGATAATGTTTATATACAGATAAATGCATATAGTATACATCAGGTATTACACATATACAGATATATCCATTGCATTTTTACTATCTCAAAGTTAGAAGCCATATTTTACTACCTAGCACCCAATGTGGCATTCCCTAAGTGAGATTACGTGTATTCTCTGTATCAGAATTACCTGGGATGGGCGTGGGTAGAAAATAAATAGATTTCTACCTCCATCCAAAATCCACTTATTCAGAATCATTTGGAAAAGAAGCCATGGAATTTGCATTGAATCAAAATTGAAACAAGTAATTCTTAGGCACACAAAGTTTACATAGAGTGTTCAAAAACTGTGTGTCATGCCCACCCTGACTTTGACAGCTATAATGATAACGGTGACAGGCGTGTTCAGTACAGAAAGCAGAGGGTTGCTGCAACACTTTAGGAAAACGCTCAGTGCCTTGCAAAGTTGCTTTAATTCCATCGGGGTTCATGGTTTATAATTATCTGAATAATTCAGACAAAAAGTTGTAGTTATCTCTATCATATCCACATCATATTAGTTTTTCTTGAATTTCATTGAGGTTGAAGCTCCCCAAAATATATCACGCCAAAAAGTAAAAAATAAAAAGCACTGGAATCTGACTGATATTTTATATAATATAAAATATTGAGTGTCAACATGATTGGATTGGAGGATGAAAATTACGGTTCCTGGGTGTGTCTATGAGGATGTTGCCAAAAAAGATTAACATTTGAGTCAACGGACTGGGAGGGGCAGACCCTCCCTCAATGTGGGTGGGCACCAGCTCATCAACTGTCATCTTGGCTAAAAGAAAGCCCACATGCTGAGTCTTCAGGTCTTCATCTTTCTCCTGTGCTGGATGCTTCTTGTCCTCGAAAATCGGACTCTAAGGTGTTCACCTATTGGACTCTTGGACTTACACCAGTGGTTTTCCGGGGTGTCTTGGACTTTAGGCCACAGGCTGAAGACTGCACTGTTGACTTCCTTGCTCCACAGCTTGCTGACAGCCTATTGTGGGAATTCACTTTGTGCTCCTGTGAGTCAGTACTACTTAATAAACTCCCCTTTATATATACATTTATCCTATTTGTTCTGTCCCTCTAGAGAATCCTGACTAATACAGTGAAAAAAACTGGGAAGAGACACCAACAATTTGACTCCTTCATGTTTATGTTCTTGATCTCATGTCTATTATAATGATAGCTTTTAAAACATAGCATTATATGCATTACTCTCCGCTTTACAAAGGATGAGGCAAACTTACATTAAAATTATAAGCATCAAGTATCAAATTATGAGCATTAAGATGCAAGTATCAAAGTATCCAAGGATATTTGGGTGGAATGACAACACTGAAATATTCCTTTCCCTTTTATAACTTTTACCAAGCTAAAACTAGTTCAGGATTTCAACCAGTAAATTGCAAAATGTATCAGTAAAATAAAATACGTAAGTTATTTTTAACAAAAAAATATGCCTGCATGATCTTTTTTCTTTTCATTCCCCAAAGAAATTTTAGATGGGGATAAATGTTGCCACCGTAGGTCAAAGTGACACTGACTCTAACTGAAGTTAATTTGTTGAAATGTTATTCCTTGGTGGAATGTTTACAACACATTTAGAGTTGGTGGATGAGACAGGGTGCCTAATGGATGACAAAATCTCTCATCTTCATAGAACAAAGATATTTGAAGATAAATAAACATTCTGCAACTTCCCTAAAGCACTGATGGCATTTTCCTCTCCCATAAAGTACAGGTTGATACAAATGGTTTAAAGAAAATTGCAACTGAGCTCAGAAAAGAGAACTGTTTCACACTCTGCATCCAAAGAGGTTGATCTGCTGGAGGGAAAAAACAAGGTGTGCATTATTTCCATAAAGCTCCCTATAATCAGTCAATTTCAGCTGGCTCAATTATACAATGTCCTTCTATTCTTTTTCCTGTAAAGGGAATTTTAATTCCGTTACTTACCAACCTCAGTATCAAGGACTAAAGTCCATCCAAAATAGACATACTGGTTAATCAAAGGTCACTTAAGGTCATTTTAAAGTCCTTATGGAAAAGACTGACTTACTTCCTTGCATTTAGGCATGAATACCTAAGTGCAATTATTTGATTTTTATACCAATCAGTTGTTCTGGAATGGACAACTAGTTTGCTAAGCACAATGATCATGTAATTGAAGGCAAGGTAAAAAGGTTGAGTTCCTTGAGGATTAATTCATTTCAGTAGAGCCGAAACATCTATTTCTATTTCTTTGGCTCAGGTTGCATATCCATGCCAGGTCTACAGTAAAAAAAGAAAAAAAAAAATCTGCCCCTGGTTGCTGTGGTGGCTGTGCCACAGCGTCAGATTGGTTGGACTTGTTTACCACTGCTGGTCTCTTAGTCCAAGTTCCTACTTTCCTATCCTAGGAGACAACAGGCTGGTAATATTTCCATACAACCCAAAGACACAAATACTGTAGACTGTGGAAGATCTCCGCCTTTACACAAGTATCTTCCTCTGATTTGTTAGTTGATCAAATAAAACTTAAATTAAAAAAGAAGACATACTTGACCTTTACTATGTGCAACTACGCATGCAACTTCTTAGTTATCTTACAGAGCGAAGTGAGCTCAACCAGAAGACATACAAAAGGCCAAAGGGAAAAGGTAGCTTAAATTGCATGTATGCAACTTGTAATGGCTTATTTTCACTATGAGCTCAGCAGAAAAATTACCAGAGGCAGATTTAAAATTCAGCGCAATAGAGAGTATTTAATATGCCATTTGCATTTTGACAGCTTAGAAACGTCTTCACTGGGTTTGCTGTATCGTCTGCTTATAAGCACGAACCAGCCACCGAGCTTTGTTTATCTGTTTCTTAAAGGAAGCAGAACCATTTTCTTGACATTTTTAAAGCTGGGTTGGTGTTTGCTTGACACAATAAACTGGAGAGTAAGGAAGCATTGCCCCCGGGAGGAGCTGCTTTCGCCTGTAGAAGCTTCAGCACTGTGGTTGTGGCAGTCGTCTTACCAAGCATGATTGGCCAGCTGAAAGCCAATATAAAAATAGCCATTCTCTCTCTTCCCGAGGCCTCTGCCAGTGAGATGCTTGAGACATGGGGGAATTCTACCACCCTGCACTACTTGCCATTTGCTTCTCTGGACTTGTTTGATGAGACCTCATTGCCCTACCATTCAAGTTTACAAAACCTGTCACTTCCGAAGAAAGACTCCCTTTTGCGACTAACTACATGAGTGCTCCAGAAGCACTGAAAAGCTTTCCGCTGAACAGTTCTGATTTGAAGTCATAGTAATTAGTAATAATATCCTGATAATGCAACAGGAAAAAAACATGATCTGCTCAGCAATACAGAGATATTAACTTCATTTTAAGGGGTTCACATTTTTTTTTTTGAGATGGAGCTTAGCTTTTGTTGCCCAGGCTGGAGTGCAATGGCACGATCTCAGCCTACTGCAACCTCCACCTCCCGGGTTCAAGAGATTCTCCTGCCTCAGCCTCCTGAATAGCTGGGATTACAGGCATGCGCCACCACGCCCAGCTAATTTCGTATTTTTTTTGTAGAGATGGGGTTTCACTATGTTGGTCAAGCTGGTCTCCTGACCTTTGATGATCCACCCACCTCAGCCTCCCAAAGTGCTGAGATTACAGGCATGAGCCACAGCATCCGGCCCACTTTTTTATTGCTGGATGGGGATTAGGGGTTTCCTGCGAAAGTATCTTCTTCACAGGAGTGTCCTGGCTTCATCAGGAGGAAGGGTATTGGGTGCGGCTCTGCCATAAAGGAGTCTGACCTGCAAATTAAAGGTCTTAGCATACTTCTTGGTGGGATGAGTCTTTAATAAGGTAACTCATCTAAAACCATGCAGGTATGGGAGGGCGCACCTCTCTCGCGGTGGAGTTACAGGGTTTCTCTGGAAACTCAGCAGTGCGTGCTCACATCTCTGCTGGGTGGGTCAGGAAATGTTTGAATTACTTACTTTAACGAATGTTCCACCTTTCTCTTTCGGGCTTCTCAAAATGAGGCTGCTCTGGCGTAGTAGTGTTGTGTGTGCTCTCCTTTAGGACGCTTTCTGGGTAAGTAATTGTCTGCAAATACCTGCATTCTCATGGCTGCACATATGCAAGAAACAACTGAGAAGGAAACTTCTTCCAAACAGCCAGTAGATCAGCCCCGGGTAAAGGGGCAGATACGAGCCAGCATACACAGAATTAATATTCCTGTTTACCAGATGAAAATGCTTACAGCCTTACTCCTTTTCCCCTGGTCCCTGAAAATAGGCATTTAAAGAGAAAGGCACACTTGGGATTCAACCTTTACAATGCCATTAATAATCCAGAAGAAAAAGGAAATCGCCAGTGAATTTTCGATATCCCCAACGCTTTATTGAAGAGTACAGCACCATCAGCTGAAGCTGATACTCAAGTACCCACAGTAACGGGTTCCAGTGACCTCAACTGCGACCGCCTCCAGCCTCACGACTCCGCAAACAGGTCACGAATTATGCCCCACGCATCAAAAACTCTGCGCCTGCCTTCGCCACAGCGGGAGCCGCCACCCGGGCGCGCGCGGCGCAGCTGCCCACGGCAGTGGCCGGGCGCCCTCCTGCCGGAGCGCTCCTCCCCGGGAAAGCCCTGCTGCTTGCAAGCGCCTCCGGTGGGCCCTGGAGCGCGCTGCCGAGCCCCGGGGCCCAGCGCCGACGCCCCCGGGGGGAGGCCCGACCTTGGTCACCCGGGCTTTGCTAGGCAAGGGGAACGCGACGCCGCCCCAATGGCCAGAGCGCACAAACGGCGACTCCGGCGCTGGCGTCACCAGCCCCCTTCCTGCCTGCAGCCCCTTCCCAGGCCGGTACAGGAGCTCGCACTTGACCCCGCAGGCGTGGAGGAGACACGGTCCCTGGTCCCTGTGGGGTTAATGAAGGAGCTCCACGGACCCACTGCCTCGTGGGCCAGACAATAGCGCAGTGAGAGCTACGTCCGAGCGTCCTGGACCCCCTCCGCGCGCACACACTTGCGCACAGCACCTCTCCAGCTCCATGCACGCCAGGGGCCTGGGACCCTGGGCTCCACTTCTCGGCTTCTACAGCCAGGTTCTGGGACCTGCAGCGCGCAAGAGGAGCTCTCTTCCACGGGGCTGCCCCGCAGGGCCCGAGGCGCCCAGGACTTTGCAACCCCTGCCCTGTTCGCCCCAGAATCATCCAGAGCAGCCCCCGCCCACTACCTGGCCCTCCACACCCTCCCTCCCGCCTCCGCCTCAGCCTCATCCTAGCGCTGCAGCCCACCCGCGTGGGGGCGGAATCCGCCCGGCACACACGTGTGCGGATTATTAAGCAGCCGAGCTAGGGCCGCCGCGGTCTCCACGCAGCAACCTCTGCTAATTGCGGGGGAAGGCAGCCGGAGCGTGCGGAACTCGAGGGAACCGAGAGTGAGCTCAGAGGCTGAGTTGCCTGCCTGGAAAGGAGGAAGCCCCGGGCCCAGTTAGGCTTGGAGTGCAGGGGAAAGGGCGGGAAGTTTTGCGGAGTTGCGTGGCAGGTGTTTCCTCTCCACGCAGGGGCTCGGCTGGAAAAAGCCAGGTCCTGTCCCTTGGGCTCCTGCCCTCACCCCGCTGCGACACACACGCCCCAGCACACCTCACAGGGCACAACCCTCTTTTCCCTAGACTTTAGCTGCCTCGCCTTCCAATTCCCAGCCAGTCCAGTGCTGACCAGAGGCCGCTGCCAGTCGGGCCCTGCTCAGCAGGCGCTGCCTCCGCAGCCGGCAATGTCAGAGGCACCGGCCAAGGCATCCGGACTGAGCCGGGCGGGTGGGCAGAGGGTCGGCGTCTGCAAGAAGCTCCCCAGTCCCGAGCGACCACGAGCTTGGGTGACTAAGACCCACTGTTTGCGATCCCCGAGATCTCGGGGCGCATTCCCGCAGACACCCCCTTGTGAGGGTGGATGCCGGTGAGGAGGAGCTGGTGCTGAGCGGTCAGCTTTCACGGAGCCCTGGACGCCCCGTGGAGGCAAGTGCAGGGAGGGGAAGCCCAGGCGGCACGTCTCTCCCCCGCTCTCCAGGCAGATCTGGAGTTTCCTAATGAACCAGATACAGTCCTCCTTCGCCCTGCCAATCACTCTTCCATCTGGACCACTGGAGGAAAAGGAAATGGGTGGAAAAGAAGATGGAAGAATCTAGAGAGGACGGGGAAATATTATGTAGGGAAAAAAGCAAGTGACCATTGAAAAAAAATCGTAAGATTGGACTCCAACCTTTAAAAATGAAACGAAAGAAAAACCCTTTGTAGATACAGATACTCCCGGGAACATCTATGGAAGTGCTGACTGATAAAGAAAGCATCTAAGGAGGCTAAAAATGAGGACAGGGGCAGGTATTTCCAATGTGAAAACCAATCAGTATTCTCTCTCTCTCTGTCTCTCTCCCTCTTTCTCGCCCTGTCTCAAAAGGGAGCTTATGTTCTTTCCCGGAGAATAAACAAGTACACAAGCTATTGCCAGCCTTGAGGTCGCAGCCTGTAGGCTACTTAGAAGAAAACATTCCCCAACTCATTCAGGGAGAAAACCAAGCTCACAGAGCCCCAAGCCCAGGAGCCACCCAGAGAAACTCCTTCCCCTGACCAGCGTAGAAGGAGGATACCCGTGCGCCCACAGTGAATGTATCTGACTTGGAAGCCGGTCCAGAACTCCTAGCCTGTTTCACGCACCTTGCCAACACCTTACAACTTGCAAGGAGCGAAGTCCGGGGGAGAGGAAAGCGGGGGCGACCTTCTAGAGGCAGCTACTCCTCGCCGGCTGAGGACGTTGGAGAGGGAAGGAGGAGAGGAGGAATGGGGTGTATGGGTGCGAGGAGGCCGGGCCGGCGGAGACCTTTGCCTATTGGTACCAAAACCCCCGTAGAGAGCCCGAACTTTCCAGGCCGGCTTCACCCGGGACGCTTTCCCAGGCGCGTCGGGTCCGGGGAGAAAGTCCTGGGAACTGCCCCTCAGCCACCCCGACCCGTGGAGTCCACGTCTCGGAGGAGGCAACACCGCCCCGGCGGAGCACAGTTCCAGCCCAACTCGTATTGGGTTCCTTTCTCCTTGACACCCTGTACTGCCGAGAAAAAGAGATCTCTCCTGTGAGCCCAAGAGAGGGGGAAGGAATGGCGGGGTGGGGCGGGGGCCCAGGAGGGCTGGGGAGAGCGCGATGGAAGCTCCCTCCCGTGCATCGCGTTCCCCGAGCTTCGGCGATGGAGCAGCGCCGGGCAGAGGCGGCCACTCCGTACCCTGCGGTCCCCAAAACGCACACTCGCGTCCGCACACGGGGCCTCCGAGGGCTCTACCGCCTCCCCGGCCAGGAGCAAGTCCGTCTTACCCTTCGCTGCAGTGAGGAGCCTCGCGCACAGCACCAGCAGCCCGAGAAGCAGGAGCAGCGACTGGAATCTCCTCCACGCAGTCATGTCTGCAGATACTCCACACGCACGCGACACCGATGGCTCCTCCGAGGAAGGCAGGGCTATGAGCGGAGCCAAATAATCACCCGAGGGCAAGGCGAGCCGGAGAGAGAGCCCGGTCCCAAGACCCGCCGCGCATCCGACGCCTCCTGAAGGTCTGGGCGCCCGGCTCGCTTCCCTCTCATAGCATCGGGTCCCGAGCCACTGCAGGGCTGAGCTGCTCCGAGCGCGGAGACCCGGGCTGGCGGGGCCGGGGCCGGGGACGAGCGCCGGCCGAGCCGGGCAGGAAGGCACCAAGGCGGCGAGGCTGCGGGAGGGGGAGAAGCGGGGAGAGGAGCGCGCGCAGCCAGGAGAGACCTGGAGAGGAGGCAGCTGGAGAGAGAGCCAGCGAGTGGGAGATGCGGGGAGGGGGGCGCGGGGGGGAGGAGAGATCCAGTCTAGAGAGAAAAGGCGGAGAGCGCAGAAGAAGGGCTGCTAGTGGCACAAGGAGCCGCTGCCGTGGAGGCTGGACTCAACCATCCTTACCCACAGAGAGGGGACCGAGGCTGGGCACGGCGCAGTCCCAGACAGACAGAGCCCAGCCTCGGGGCCTCGGGCTGCCCGCACCGTGCTGCGCTTCATTCGGCCTCAGCGCAGCAGCGCGCAGGCTGGAGAAAGGAGACTTGTTGGGCGCTCGGGTGGGGGAAGCTCACGCCGCACACCGGGGAGGAACAATGTAATCCGGCAACTCCAGCAAACTGGAGGGTTTCTGCAGGGGCAGAGTCCCGCCTCCATCCTTTGATCTCCCTTCCTTGCTGACCAGAGAGCAGCCCCCTACCTAACTTAGATCAGAAATGCAGGTGGAAAGGGCACAAGCTTCAACTCCAAGGGAGGAATATATTTATACATTTATATATATATATATATGATGATATGTATAATGTTTTGCAAGATGGACTATTTGCAAGGAGTTACACAAATTTACACATTTCCTGACTTTGGATTGTGTTAGATTTAGCCATGCCCAAACTTCAGCTTCAGATAAAACGTGACATGAGGAAGTCTCTAGAATTAATATTATGGTCTGGTTGTGAGAGCCGGCATGTTGGCACAGCTTCTGATGAAACTATATATAAAATTCTGTGGGTTGGGAAGGGACCTTAAAAGAGAAGAGACAGGTTCTCCCTGATTCTGCAAAAGGATGAAGCCCGCAGAGAGAGAACAGTGCTTTAGAATAGCAGTACTTGATACAGTAAACTGGATTTCACCCAGCTCCCCAAATAGAGGAGGCATTCCTGCAGTTCCTGGGGAACGTGTAAGGAGAGACATTTTAGGAGAAGGTGGTCAGTTAATAGAAACACCACGAGTGAGGGCTGGTTTCCATAGAAGGACATTTAAAGGATTCGACATCCTTGACCAAAAAGGTTTAGCCCTTTCAGAGGACAGAACGTGGAAATCCCATACCCTAGTAAGAGAGAATTAGCCTCCAGGCCTGGAACCATTAGAGTATACAACCATCTACCTGCGGTATCCCCACAGCACCGAATGCCTGTGGTGGGAGGGACAGCCCACCGCTTCATCCCACCTGCACTTCCTCTGTCAGTCTTTGAGATTAAATGGGTTGACAGTTTGATAAAGTTTTATATCCCTCCTTCAATTTTCTTAGATTGCTCCTGCCTCTGTGACCTAGTCTACCCTAGAAAGGCATAATGGATCCAGGAAGGACTGCAACCTTGGCATGGAAACACCGAAGCCTGACTTTCTTAGTCTCCCTGCAGCCTAAGGTGCAGGTGGCCACAATTGGGGCCACCTCCACAACCCTTTTCTCCTCGCAGATATATGAGATTTAAATATGGGGTGGGTGGGGAGGGAGAGAATGCGTGCTCTTGGAGTTGCAGTCCTGAACATGACTTGGATTTTCCTCAGCGCAGAGTCCCGTCTTGCCTCATGTATCCCTGGAGGGACACTCGGAAGACAGAATGCCTCAGTCACGGGGGAATTCCCATAGAACCCCTGAGTTCTATTCTTCAGGCTGAACCGGGCCTGTGGAGCAGAGGGTCGCCCCCTCTGGGATTTTAAATCAGACCTCAGATAGTATCTGTGAGTCAGCGAGTGAACAAAAATGCTTTCCAAGACCCATTAAGTGCTCCAATAGTTCATTTCAAGCGCCTCATCCGGAAAAACGGATCTCTTTTCAGGAGCTTAAGAGCTGACTTCTTCTTGAGAAACGGTGCCCTGTCTCTACACTGCCATTCCTAATGGCTCGTGTCACCAAGAAGGATTTCTGCCATTAAAAAACGTTTCCAACATCTAACCATCCTAGGCTAGGACTCATAGATGATTTTCACTTGATTAGGATCCCAATCAGGAACGACGGTGAGTGTCACCTGAGAGATGGAACACCTTTCCACATAATTGTGACAGGCTCCGGGCTGAACTTCCCTTTTCCTGTGTTCTGTTGAAAAACGTCCCATGCCACCTCCTTTCCCCAGAGAGCAAAGAATCTATCTGATACAAAGCCTTGAGAAATAATGGTCCAGATAACCAATAACCACTCATTTTTTTTGCTGTTATTTATGTGGGGTATTTTCTTTGGCCCGATCGTATATTAGAGAGTTACAATGATTCGTACCAAATTGTTTATTGATCATGATTATGAGAAGGGTATGAAACGGCTGACAAATAAAATAAGCTGGTTTTCTGATATGGTTGTATTTGTGTGTTTATACAGTGAATTTTTCGCCCAAGATCTCAAGGCTGGCTTAATTTGGAAGGAAAACATGGGGCTCTGCTGCCATCTAGCGTCCAATATTTCTTGTTTGGCGTTTGCAGAGAGATCAGTGGTCCCTCTGTTTTACTTCTCTGACCTCCTCTGCGGTTCCCTGCCTGCGTTTTGAATCTCCTCCAGAACACTCTTGTGCCCTCCTTGCGGTCCAGCTTGAGCCTATTAGAACACTGCAAGCTCCCCCGACACATACATACACACTTTGATGTGTAAATGATTGCGAAAGCCTTAATCTATATCAGAAGTCCAGTACATGTTACTTAGGGCAGTATTAACCACACGTGGTTAGAGTGAGTGTGGGGGCCCAGGGACGTCACACCAGGAAGCTCTGTGGCCACTTCTCTGCCAGGGCCTGTGCTGCCTGGAACATCATACTTCTCTACTTGTATACTGACTCCATTCCCCATCCTGGGCCTCACACTCTCCACAGCCTCAGGACCTGGCTAAGCAACACTAGAAATACCCTTGGCACTCGGGACCGATCAGAGAGTTGAGCAGTGCGATGATTAAAGGCAAAGAGGTGCTGACGTTCTGGAAGGGATAATGACATACCTAAATTCAGGTAGCAACTAATTTAAGACAAGGTTGGAGAGATGACAACATAAACATCTGAAAAGTGCAGCCACTGAAGAGGGAGAGTGTATTTTAAATGGAATTATCTGAGGAGGGGGCAGAAAATATGAACATGATAGTTGAGATAAAATTAGAAAATTTTAAAACATGCCCAGATGAGAATGCTAATTAGCTAGAAAAGCGGCACATGTGCGAAAATCTTAGAAAATTTGGTGTGTTGTCATGATGGCTAAATGTGACATTATTTGGTTTGTTTAATGTCACATATAAAAAAAAACTGATGGCAACTAAAGAATTGGGGAAACTTGTTTCCTTGACAGAGGGGTCAGTATTCGAGCCACACAATCCATGTTTCCAGCAGCGCAGTGTCTACCTTGGGTGAGCAAAAGTGTGAGAGAGCTTAAGGAATAAAAGCAGAAGTCAAAACAATCACGTTTTGTTTACAAAGGCACTTTATGCATAACTTCATTGATACCATACTTGTCTTTATCAGTCCTCCTTCCAGTGATAAGGACATGATGGCTTTGAGAAACCAGGGGACTCGTAAAGGGGTCACGTCTTGCTGAGGGCCACAATGCACGCGATACTCAAACCTTTGGCCACATCAGTATTTAAAAGCCAACCCCTCCTATCCCTTGCTGACTGAAAAGCATACCCGGACTCCAAGGTTCCGACACACACACATGGGGCTATGCCCCCACTGTGGTGTGTTGAAAGAACAGAGAGACACATCTATAGAGGACGCCACTCAATAGCAGCAGAATGCACACCCCTTTCACGTACACATGGAGCATTCTCCAGCACAGACCATTTCCTAAGCCATTAAAAAAACAAACAAAAACTGTGAACGTTTGCAGCTATTTATTTAGGTAAATTTAGATTTATTTAACTATCCTCATTGACTGGATTGATAAGTAAATGTTCATCATCTTCCCATTTTTATAAGATAAATTAACACCTTTCACATGTATACCATACACATACACGTGACAAATTGAGCTGTCAAGGGACAACCCACACTATGAATGATCCACTGGGAGGAATGACAACACTGCAAATTCTCTCCTTGCACAGTTAGGTAGCCGAATGAAGGGTCACTGCAGGCGTCAGCGTATGTCACGATGACCTGGAAGGCTTGTGAAAATACAGATTCCTGGCCAGGCGCGGTGGCTCACGCCTGTAGTCCCAGAACTTTGGGAGGCTGAGATGGGCTGATCACGAGATCAGGAGATCAAGACCATCCTGGTTAACATGGTGAAACCCCGTCTTTACTAAAAATACAAAAAATTAGCCGGGCGTGGTTGCAGGCCCCTGTAGTAGTCCCAGCTACTCGGGAGGCTGAGGCAGGAGAATGGCATGAACCCCCGAAGGCAGAGCTTGCAGTGAGCTGAGATCGCGCCACTGCACTCCAGCCTAGGCGACAGAGCGAGAGTCTGTCTCAAAAAAAAAAAAAAAAAAAACAAAAAAGAAAATACAGATTCCTGACCACGACCCCAGAGGATCTGATACAGCATAAGCTTTGGGATGCAACTTAATAACGTACATTTCTTTTCTAATTTTTAATTTGTATTTTTTGTAGAGACAAGGTCTCACTATGTTGCCCAGGCTGGTTTAGAACTCCTGGGCTCACGTTGATCCTCTGGTGTCAGCCTCAGAAAGTTCTGGGATTACAGGCATGAGCAACCACGCCTAGCTAAGAATATACATGTCTAACAAGTTTCAAATTGACCCTGATGCATCCAGGATTCCACTGTGAGAACCACTGGTATGGAGGATGACGTGGAACCCATAGGACCTGCTTTGAATCCCGTATCTGCCATTTCCTAGACTAGAGACCTAAAAAAGAAAAGAAGAAGAAACTTAATCTAGGTGTAAGTTTCTGGTCTGAAATGTAGATAATGAGATCTACCTCATAGACTTGTTGGAAAAACCAAACAATATAGACATAATGCCTGATATATAGTAAACCCTCAAAAATATGATTTTCCTTTTTTATTCAGTCAGTCTCTGAAAGGGAGAGAATAAGAGAAGAAACCCAGATGGAGAATGGCATTTCCATCTGTTCTGATCCATATTTTAGGAGCTGCAAACTGGATGTTGGTAGGGAAAAGAAACACATTCCGTCAACGTCTCCCAGATTGTCTCAAGGTGAATCCAGCAGGATTCCATGTGGGGAAGCCGTGGGTTTTACTGACTATGACTTTTAAGATCAGCTTGAAAGGCTGCCTCACACCTGGCTGTTTCCCAAGTCCTGTGGAACACGAGCAAGCTGGAAAAGCTCGTCCGGAACTAGGTGAAGTGACATTCTGAATGTTCATTAATGACGCTCTCCTCTTGCAGGAAAGAACACCTAGGGCAGAGATGCTTTGAATAGCTATCAGCGTGGTCTGATACTGCCCATCAGTAGATCCGTGAAGGAACAAGAGACTCCCCATTGCTCCTCCAGTGCTAAATATTGTCATAAAAACACAAATAAGGCCGGGCGTGGTGGCTCATGCCTGTAATCCCAGCACTTTGGGAGGCTGAGGCGGGCAGATCACGAAGTCAGGAGTTCGAGACCAGCCTGGCCAACGTGGTGAAACCCCATTTCTACTAAAGATCCAAAAAAAAAAAAAAAAGAAAAGAAAAGAAAAGAAAAGACAAAAAATTAGCTGGGCATGGTGGCACGCACCTGTAATCCCAGCTACTCAGGAGGCTGAGGCAGGAGAATCGCTTGAACCCAGAAGGCAGACGTTGTGATGAGCCAAGATTGCACCAATGCACTCCAGCCTGGGCGACAGAGCGAGACTCTGCCTCAAACAAACAAACAAACAAAACAAAAACACAAATAAGTGCTTATCTGGCTCTAGCAGCTGCAGGAATACTGAAGCAGGAATACTGGTGATGAGGGGCTTTTTCTGGGGACTTGCACTGGTAACCATTATCCAGTGGGACTGGATTTCAGAAGCACTAGACTCCATGCTATTCTCTCACTTTCAGAAAAACCACGTCACTTCTGTGACTTAGTTTTCTTATCTGTAAAACAAGGGTTTGGGCTAATGCTTATCCTACATCTAAAATTCTGTGATTCTCACCTTCCTTATTTTCCTCTACTTTACCATTTTCCTCTTTTTATTACAAAATACCATATATTGTCATGCTCTGTATAAGTTTGGTGAGCTCTCCACAGGAAAGACATTGCAAAATTAAAATAAAAACATTTAGCTTGCCAGAATAGCAATGAAACAATCACAATAACACACACACACACATACACACGTGCACACACCATCTCGGCAGCAACTTCAGAATACAAATCACTGCATTTGTCTTTATCTGTAAACGTGAACAATTCCAATTTTTTATACCTTCTTTATAAAAAAACAGTGAAGTGTTCAGTGATCACAAAACTAAAACTACTCATTCTACCTACAAATGTCTTAAATTCAGGTGTGAGGCGGAGATGGTAATATCATCCATTGTGCTACATCAGTTTCATCTTGCCAGCGATGCCGTGTTCTCACTTGATAATTCCCTTGTATTGAGAAAATGTAGAGCTAAAGTGTTTTCCTTCTCTGAGTTTTAAGACACATAAAGCACAGCCATACTTCAAACTTGAAAACTGGCATGTTGTTACCAATGGCTTTTCACGCAGTCCCGGACATTGTGGGTGCCACAGACATTGCATCTGAACACATTGACTCTTGCTTCTGCAGGCTTCATGCACTCAAAAGAGGGTTGTATGGCAGGTGGAGAAGGTGAATAGAAGTGGGATGTACTGACTCTTCCTCCTTGCCTTCTCCTTTTCAAAGATTTTGTGAACTGTAACTCAGTGGAGGAATTCTCCGGACAGTATGAATGAAGGGCCTGAGCCTGGGAGAAACAAAAGAGACGGAGGCCTTCTCAGGAGTACAAGACTTCTTGGGATTCTTTCCACCATTTTTTCCTCCACTTCCGAGTTATTTTCCACATTCCTTGCTCGCTTCTTTTCTAAATGACCTTAAAATTAGGCAAATCATGTGATTGCTGATATGGTATAGATTTCAAGTTTCCAAATACCCTTTAAATATCAGTATGTGTGAAATTCTACTAGTCAAGCCTTGCCCTATGAGTCTTGGAGGCTTTGCAGAGTAAGAGCACCTTACTCATGGAAGACGCTTGTACGGGTTTGGCTTGTGATATTCAATTCCTGTAATGTAATTTGACCTTTCATTGAGAAAACAAGGGCTCTCAGGGACAGTACGCTGTGCAAAGTGGTAGCGAGAGACAAAGAGATGTGCCCGAGAGAGTGTCTGAAGTTCAGGATTAGATTCACCTCGCAGGGCCTGTTTCTTCTGATGATGCCTGCTTTCTCTAGTCAACATCCAGTACATGGAGAAATTCTTCATGTAGACAAAATGCAGATTCTCGCTAATCTGAGTCTGTGTCTCAGTTCCTGCATGTCCTAGCTGGGTGGCTTTGTGCATTTACCCAAGTGCAATGATTCCTGGCCTCGTCCCTAAAAGGGAATCTATTTTCTAACTCACAGGATTGCTGTGAGAATTAATTGAAGCAATATATGGAAAATACTGAATTTGAACTTGAAAAGACACAAGAGGTTTTAGCACCCTTCCTCTCCATTCTTTTTAGCTTTGCCTCTGAGCTTAAAGGTATTTCTTTTTTTTTTTTTTGCCCCTGAAGGATTGTCCTTTCTTTCTTACTGATTGAAATAAGATCCTTTCAAATATTTCCTGAAATAGTATATGCAAAATCTCTCCTGTTGGAAAAGCTTCTTTAAAAAGCAAGTTATCATCCTTTGAGTTACTGCAACGTCGTCAATTCTTGGGTTATCCCTTTTAAATATGGAGCAATGCTGCAGTGGGAGCTGAAGGAGTAGGTGACCGCCACTGTGTGATCAACAGTAGCAGCAGCTTCAGAGCTCACACCGAACATCTGAAAAGTGTAAAGTTCTGCAATTATTGCCACGATACAGAAGTAGCAGGCAAGGTTCTTGCATGACTGAAGAAAAGAGAACAGGCACTAACAACAAACTTGTGGCAGGTATGTGCTTATGCAGAAACTTAGGCTAGGAAATATGAATTGCTGTGTCCTGGCTGTCATAAGTAATTATCAGAAACAGGATGAACACCAAAGTCTGAGGTCCAGGCTTTGTACATTTCATCCTGCTGCCTCCAGGGATGCCACTGAAGACTTCCTGATATGCCAAGACCTAGGGTGAGCCTGAAGGAAAGATGAGAGTTCAGCATGAACTTCAAGGAGAAAGAGCATTCTAGGTGCAGGGGGAAAACATGTGCACACATTTGGAGGGATGACTACCAAAAGAATGCTCAAACAAATCTGCATTTGGTAAGAAGACTGCTTAAGAAAGCTTTTTCAAGTGTGGACCCAAGTTTCACAGATTTAAGTTTGTATTTACTGAACATGTACCAGTTGATTGTAGGAAGGGTTACCCAAAATGGATGTGTCAGAGGGGAGAGGGTGAAATGTAAAATGGGACACGGTAAGGGATGTGGGAGTAGCAGTGGCCTGTCGGTGACGAGATCCCAGCCACCCTGCAGCGTAGGCCAAGGCAACCCATCTTAGCAGCCCTTACTCTTAACCATGACACACTGGGCGTTTTTCCCAGCCTCACAGCAAAATCTTTGTTGGTAAGATGTTGTCATGCTCTTATAAACTATATGGGAAAAGATGACAACGAAGGACCACTCTTTCATCTCTCTGAATCCCTTAATTAATTAAAATTACTTTTGTTGCATGCTGCCTCATTTGTCAAATGGGATTAACTGCACCCCATCATTTACAGGCAGGGAGGGACCCTGTGTGCTGGATGCAGGCATTTTCCACCTATGAATCTGTGCTCTGTGATGTAAGCTCGACTTTCCTTTAAACAGAGGATGCTTATGTCATGATGGTATGGAAAGGATTTTGTTCAGAAGCCTCAGGAACTGCTCAAGTGGAGGAATGTCCTGAGGGTTTGCTCATTCTGGAGAGAGCAGCCTGTGTGAATCTGAGCTTTCACAGGGCACAGAAGCAGGTTGGGCTGCGGAACTGGGACCACCAGGCAGTGAGAGCCGGAGCAGAACACGCCGGGACCTCTCATTCCTCATCTCTGCAAGGTTGTCAGTGCAGATGCCAGACCAAAGGAAATGCTGAGTGTGGCTGAATTTCTGAGACAGGAAAACGATACTGACATAGATCCTCTTAACCAGGGTTGCTGTGTGCTGGAAATAGAGCAGTTATCCTGCTCCTCCCCAGGGAGCAGGCCCAGGAGGACTAAAGGACACTGCCTCGCACTATGGAAGTGCAGAGGGCTGAGCAGTGCCTCCAAGGCTGTGGAACATTTGAATGGGATCTTTGTATTAAAGAACGCAGTGCCCAGGCTCACCATGAGCTATATCATCACACTCAGTCCTGGATCAGGATCTGTTCTTCTGGTGATTGCAGAAACATGGTAATCAGGGAATAGAGAGAGACATTTGCTTAGGGGACAGGTCCTTGAAAATCACCAGCAACTGGACACCCCAGGCAGTGCCAGGAATTTGCAGCATTTTCTGAGGTTACTAGGCCAGTCAAGGTTGAGAATAAGTCAGCACTAATCTAGACACAGGGCCTAACCCACCATCAATGACACACATCCCCTTAAAGAAACTGGAGGCTTCCTGGGAGCAGAGAGGGATTTTGTGACAGACAGGTCACAGATGTATGGCAGGATTCCTTGGAACCTGGCCTTTTCTAGGGGACTGTTAGCATTTGGACCATAATGAAAGGATGCAGTCAACCTCCCAAGCCCCCAGTGCTTGTGGGAAATGCAGTGCCAGACACAAAAATGTACCAGAAAGAAAAAATTTGGTTGTGCTTAAGCTTGCTCTTGTGGAAGCAAGCTTTAAAGGTAGTCTGAATAATGAGACACCCAACATCACATACACTCAAATTCAACCATTCCAAGTTATCCTAAAGCTGCAAGTGTTTTTACAACTGTGCACCAAGCTCTTCATTTGGCAGGTCTTAACTGGAAATAATAATTGGAATTGGTGTCTTGTACTTCTGTCCTCACCCCAACAGCAAGAAGCAAAACTTCTTGTGTATCAAGCTACACTATAGTTTGGAAAACTGATCAGAGCAAATTGCTACTAAAGTCATTTTTAAGGAAGCTTTACCTGGGAAACTCAGATTTTATCACTGGACTGATCAATTTCCCTTCTCTCCTAATTTTTTGTGTGTTTGTGAAGCTAATTCAGAAGATGAAAGAGAGGAGCTTGATGCTTACTGAATTGTGGAACCAAAAGTGTAGCCCGAAGTTTGTTTGTGGGAACCACAAATGCCAGCAGAACTCAGGCACCCAATATCACACCACTGACCATCAAACCTTAGAGGGGTAGAGGAGAAGAAAATGAACCCCCGCCTTTATTGGAAAAGTTCCCCCAGTTCAGCCCAGGGCTCTGGTAAGAGCCAACCCCACTAAATTGCTTCAAAACTTAAGAATCAGTTTTCAGGTGTGGCAAATGTGAATGTGTAAGTATCTACAACTAGATAGCAGGACCTTATTCTTGTGGGTAGAGTCAAGGAGAAAATATACATGTACACACATACACACGTGGACACACAGGGACTCACAAACCCGTGCATGACACACGGGTGTGCCATGTGTTCCCAAGACTGTGAGTTACAGATTCCTGACTGTTTCTTTATTAGTAGGACAGGGTCTTTTAGAGAGCTTCTCAGACATTCAGAGAATGTGCTTCTGAGGGTGTTTTTGTTTGTTTGTTTGTTTGTTTGTTTGTTTGTTTTTTCAGAAATTAAGGTCAGGGAAAGAGAGAAGGATCAGCCTGATGAAATATCCCAGCTTCATGGACAAAGCAGCAGAGTGGGTGCACTATTTCGTCTGAGCATGCAGTGGAGACTCTGGAGAAAGGAGAAAGAAGCTAAATCTGAGACTCATTGGCTTCAGCCTGCTGTTGGGTGGATCTGGTGTCAAGGAGAGGTGGAGGAGAAGAAAATAAACCAGGAGGAAGCAGATCGGGATTCAAGGCACTGATGTCCACTGACAAGCTGTGAGAATTTGGGAAAGCCATTTAGTCTCACTTCTTCTTAATTCCTTTGGCTTTTTAATAACTGTGCCAATGATACATGTTCGATTCACCACCCAGGTCATTTTGAGAGTACAATGAGTACTCTCTGGGAACACACTGTTAAAATGAAGAAGGTTTGTACAAGCGTTAGTTATTTGGACCAATCTTATTAACAAAGACGTTTCCAAGTTGCTCGCATTCCTTTGGCATTGTAGACATTGAGATGTGAACTAATGTAGCCAACATGACCATTACTATGACAGCCAACAAGACAGTGGATGTAAGCCTGTTTGTTAACAGCAAAACGCTATATACATCGTTATTTTTTTAATTAGACAAAAACCCACTTAGAGTAGAGTTACTTTCCCACATGTACTCAGGAAACATTTTTTGAATTCTCATTGTGGGCTAGCTTTTTTATCCAGTACCATGGACACTAACAATTAACATTTACATGTCCCTCTACAACTAAATTTTGCATGTGTGCTCATGACGTCATCTGGTCTCCTGATAACCTTGGTTGTGGAAATGATCATTTCTACCCAAAGAAATATGGCTTGATGACTGGGTGACCCATCCACAGCCACAGGCCATAACACCATGTTGCTGTCCACTGAACGAGAGTGCTTCTCAAAGGCAGATTTGAAATCTGCCAGATTTCAAACAGCTACAGTGGTCTTGAGAAAATGCCTAAGTAACTGAAAGAAAAACTCTGGTAAGAATCATAATAAAATAACTTCCTCTAAAATATTAAGAATCCTAATCATGTAAGAAAACCTTCCAGATGAGCCATGAAGTCAAAATTTTAAATATCATAGAAGGAGAGATTTTTAACCTGGTTCTGTGCAAGTTTCCAGATGATTGAATGACTATGTAAATTGCATGCAAGTTTTTGCAGGTACGTGAGTTCATTTTTCTGATGAACTAATCCACAGCCCCTGAAATATTAAACCATCCTTATATAAAGAGTTGCTTAGTTTAGAAATAAAGCTATTAATGAAGTGTGTCTCTTTTTCTTATAAAATGCTTCACTTAAGTTGGAAAATATGAAACAACCAGGACTTTTGCAAATAATGCACGCCTCTGTTAGTAAGGGAACGGGCTAAAAAAGCATCAAAGAGAATTACTGCTTTTCTTTCATTCCTTTATAGTTTGTTGATTTAATCCCTCTTGCCTGCCAGGACAAGAATTTCCTCCATCACAATTCTAGAGCTTAGTACAGTCTCGCTTTAAATGGCATAGTGACTGAGTTTCCGTCACTTTTATTAGGAAACGTTTCTCCACCTGCAATATCATGCTGTGAAAGTATAGTCCTGAGAATCTGAGACAAGCTTTCCTCAGTTTGACCGAGGGCATGGAGAAGGCCTTGGTTATCCCGACACACCCCATTTAGACCCCGACAGCCCTTCTAGTGGGTGCACGTGCCTCACTGGGGAGATGTGCATTTGCATGGGTGCAGGAGGACGTTATCCCATGGCTGACACAAAGAAAGGGCCCCATCACAAGTGCACAAGGTCCACTGAAAAACATGAGCCTCAACTTTGGAAAAGACCGTAACGAGCAGCGGCCTATTTACCCTGAAAGCCACATAAGGCAGTGGTCCCCAGCCTTTTCGGCACCAGGGACCAGTTTCATGGAAGAAAATTTTTCCACAGATTTGAGAGAGGGTGGTTTGGGGATGATTCCAGCACATTACGTTTATTGTGCACTTTATTTCTGTTATTATTACCTTGTAATATATAATGAAATAATTATACAACTCACCATCATGTGGAATCAGTGGGAACCCTGAGCTTGTTTTCCTGCATTAAATGCTCCCATCTGAGGGCGATGGGAGACAGGAACAGATCATCAGGCATTAGATTCTCATAAGGAGCACGCAACCTAGATCCCGCACATGCACAGTTCACAATACGATTCATACTACTACGAGAATCTAATGCTGCCCCCATCTTACAGGAGGCAGAGCTCAAGCAGTAATGGAAGTGATGAGGAGCAATCATAAATATGGATGAAGCTTTTCTCGCTTGCCTGCTGTCCACCTCCTGCTCTGCAGCCATGTTCCTAACAGGAACTGGTCCATAGCCCTGAGGTTGGGGGCCCCTGCCATAAAGGATAGCGTCCATCAGTGGTGCGTGTTCATGTAAATCTCCTTCTCTTCACAATGCATAATGGGCTTTCTTTTTTTTTTTTTCCCAGGTGGAGTTTCACTCTTGTCACCTAGGCTGGAGTGCAATGGTGCAATCTCAGCTCACTGCAACCTCCGCCTCTTGGGTTCAAACAATTATCGTGCCTCAGCCTCCCGAGTAACTGGGATTACAGGCAAGCACCTCCACACCCAGCTAATTTTTGTATTTTTAGTAGAGACGGGTTTTCCCCATGTTGGCCAGGCTGGTCTCGAACTCATGACCTCAGGTGATCCGCCCGCCTCCGCCTCCCAAATCGCTGGGATTACAGGCGTGAGCCACCAAGCCCGGCCCATAATGGGCTTTGATGTCCATCCCATGCTCACTGGCTCTGTCACACTGGTTGCAATCCATTCCTCATTTGTTCTGTTATTTTGTGATTAAGTTGTGTTTTCTATTCCCTTTGCCATCTTCCATTTCTACCATTAGAACAGAGCCTTTCCTCGGTGCAGACTAAAGGGAAAAGGAGTCAGTGAAGTGAAGCAACATGTGAAGAGCAAGGCTTTGGAGCGAGGTTGCTGAACTTCACCTGGTCCGGAGCTACTGGAAAACAGGAAACTGAGAAACACATCGCACCCTTTAGTGCTTCAGGAAATGGCTACTGCAAAGAACCAACACTCCCTCTAACTTAGACAAGATGCAAGAGGCCTTTCAGAAGGACATTCTACTGTGTTTACTCATTGCTCAGCTCCATCTGCTGTTCCTTCTTCTTTCCAGGACTTTTGCGAATTTGCGAAAGCCATTTAGTCTCACTAATTTGTAAGGTTTCTTTCTGTGTGGAGGACTTCCTTCAGTCAGTCAATACAGGTAGGTCTATTAGAGATAAATCTTTTTTAGTTTTCCCTTATATGAAAATGCTTGTATTCCCCTCTTATTTCCTCCTTTATTTTTCCTCTACTCAGTTTCTGTCACCAGGCATTGCGTTTGCAATAGACAGTAATTTTCTTTCAACACTGGAAGATCATCATGCTACTCCCCTTTACGTTCCGCAGTTTCAGATGAGAAACCTGCTGTCACTCACATCATTGTTTCCTCAGCATCCTTACTCTTGCTGCCTTCAAGATTTTCTCCATGTCTTTACTTTTCAAAAGTTTAATTATGTTATGTCTTCTTGCATTCTTTGAAGGATGGGGTAGTTTTTCCTATTTGAAGTGCCCTCACTTCGGCCGGGCTCGGTGGCTCACGCCTATAATCCCAACATTTTGGGAGGCCAAGGCAGGCAGATTACCTGATGTCAGGAGTTTGAGACTAGACTGGCCAACATGGTGAAAGGCCGTCCCTACTAAAAATACAAAAATTAGCCGTACGTGGTGGTGTGGTAGCGCCCACCTATAATCCCAGCTACTTGGGGGTCTGAGGCAGGAGAATCACTTGAACCCGGGAGGCAGAGGTTGCAGTAGGCCGAAATCACGCCGTTGCACTCCATCCTGGGTGACAGAGAGAGACTCCACACAAAAAAAAAAAAAAAAAAAAAAAAAAAAAAAAAAAAAAAAAATCCTCAGTTTCTAAGATCTGTAGGTTTTTACCTTTTGCCAAATTTGGAGAGTTTTTACCCATTAATTCTTCAAAGACCTCTCATCCCTGCTGTCTTTCCTCTCCTTCTGGAACTTAGAAGAAACAAACGTTAAATTTTTGGTAGTTATCTCACAGGACCCTGAGGCTCTGTTTGTTCATTTATTTATTTTTTTTTCTGTCTAATTTCTTCTATTGTTCAGATTTGGTGACTTCACTGTTATCAAGTTCACTGAGTTCACCCTCTGTCATCTCTTCTCTACTCTCAAAGGTATCCATCAAGCTTTTTATTTATGTTTATTCACAACTATATTTCTACCGATTACTTTAAAACTTCAATGGCTTTGCTGAGATTTTTCTATTTTTTCTCATTCAAGAGTTGAAAATCAGTAGTCAGATTAGAAAGAGCAGTAATTAATACAGAGTTTCAAAGACTGAAATCCATTTGACCCAGCAATCCCATTACTGAGTATATACTCAAAGAAATATAAAGTTTTCTATTAAAAAGATACTTGCACACGTATTTCATTGCAGCACTATTCACAATTGCAAAGGCATGCAAACCCAAATGCCCATCAACAATAGGCTGGATAAAGAAAATGTGGTATATATACACCATGGAATACTATGCAGCCATAAAAAGGAACAAGATCATGTTCTTTGCAGGAACATGAATGGAGCTGGAAGCCATTATCCTCAGCAAGCTAACGCAGGAACAGGAAACCAAACACCGCACGTTCTTACTTATAAGTGGGAGCTGAACAATGAGAACACATGGACACAGGGAGGGGAACAACACACACTGGGGCCTGTCAGGGGTTGGGTGGGGGAAGGAAGAGCACTAGGGTAAATAGCTAATGTAGGCTGGACTCAATACCTGGGTGATGGGTTGATACGTGCAGCAAACCAGCATGGCACACTTTTATCTGCGTAACAAACCTGCACATCCTGAACATGCACACCGGAACTTAGAATAAAAATTAAAAAAGAACAAAGAGACTGAAAAAAAAGCAACAAAGGAAACAGACGGATAAAGGGCAACTGAGGAGGATGTTCCAGAGAAAAGCAAAATTTAGCAGAGATGGCAGAAAGAGAAGAAAAATAAATAAATCGACAGACTACACTGAAACGCCTGGAATTCCCCCTCATGTGTGTATTTTCATAAAAATTTTCAAATGATAACTTCCGTTTTCTAGAAACAAACTCTTGAATATAAGCCCATTCTGGGACTTTGTCCTTGATGCTATTCCTGCAGACAGCACCTAAGTGAAAGGTAAATGCAGCTGACTGGAGAAGAGATGCAGGGACTGTGTAATCCTGGCTGTTAATTTGCTTATCACCCTCTCAGGAACCTAAGTTTTCTCTTTTGTCAAGTTAGTATAATAATCCATATTCCACAGGACATTATGAAAATCAAAGAGATGATAAATGTAACAAGTTTTTCTAACGTGTCCAGCGATTTTGTAATACTTATGAATAATGCACTGGAAATTGGAAGAGGCTTCTACATTTTCATTTTCACTTCTCTTGATTTATCCTCTAGCAGTGGAGATTTGGACATTGACATCAAGCACCAGTGGTTTTTCTGTTTGTTTGTTTGTTTCTTTTTTTCATTCATAATGACATGGCTTCCGGGTATCTGTCTCCTAGGTTATTCCACCAGGGTAAACATGAAATTGGCTCTACGCACCTTTCCTAGGGAGAAGTTTGATTTCTTTCTTTGCATTCACAAGTAACGTAACTACAGTTATTTAAATTACACTGTTCCTTAAGTTTAATATGAAGAGTGATTCTTTTCTTGATGCTTATTAAGAAAATTATTTTAGGGAGCGGCAGTAATATTAGTAATGCCAATCATTTGTTGAGTACTTACTAGGCACCAGGAACTAGCTACGGAGGTTGTCTCTTTGAGTCCTCACAATAACCCCATCAGATAAATATTCTCATTTTCCTTATATAGAGAGTTGCATTACTCGAACCTCATATGTAAACTGAGAAAATTAATGGTTGAAAAGATGAAGGTCTTAGGACCAGGAGATGATGGTACCACCAGGCTTTGACCCTCATCATCCTAATTCCAGAGTTTACATTCTCTCTTACCCAGCTATTCTGCTCATGGAAAATCCCTGTATGTCTGTAGTAATTTGGAAGGAAAGATAAATGGGGAGAAAGACGTCCACGGAAAACTAGTTATTGAGATGTGTAAGGATTTGAAATAATAAATGAAAAAAATCACAGGTTGGCAAAAAAGAAAAAAAATATATAAATGATAGGACTATTTTATTCTTTGCAATGTCCCCTTCAATTTTGAACTGAAATTTGGGATTGGTTTCTCCAGAGAAATCGTCATTACTTATTATCTCAAGCCTTTAACTCTTTCTCACAGAGTGATTGGATTTCCAATATCTATTGAGGAAACCAAATCCAGTCCTATCAATCTTCCTATATACTTGGACAAGAAAACCCCAAAGTTCAATACCCACCTTGTGAATTCAAGCTTTACTTTTTCTCAAGACCTCAGTAGCTTAAAGGTTACTTTTGAGCATTAGTATGATATTTTCATGTTTAAGATTCACACTTTGTTAGAAGATTGCTTTAAATGGCCCTAAATCTCTTCTACCCTCTCATTCTGCTACTTACAGGAAATCATATTTTGGTTTCAGCTATCCTTGTGCAAAGTGTTATGTGACAAGAGGGTTAACTATAATAGGGATTTAGTTCCTGTTTTTTTCTTTTACAGGAATAAATCAATATTTAATGCCAAAAATTCCACATAAAATCACTTATTTATATCGTGTTTTTCATCCATTCATTTATTGATCTTTTATTTATAGGTTGTTTAGTATGTATATCTATTGGGCTGAGTATTTCGTAAAGTATATATTTTCAAAATGGAAGACTCAGCCACCAACTGTGATTCCATTGTAATCCACATGGGCACATATTTTGGGAAAGGGAGGGTGTAGACAGGGCAAATAAAAAATGTCAATCTAACCAAGATATTGCTTTTCTCCTGTGTCAAAATACTAACTGATGAAAAGGTTATCCCTGAGTTGTATTTTTAATTTTGATGAAACAGGTTTCTATTAGAATAAGTGTTCTTAAAGCTCCGCCACTCTGAGGAGCAAAAACAGTGGGTCAAAAGTGGTGGCCGAGCCAGTGGAGAGGGGTCCATACACATCGGGAGGCAGCTGTTTTTAATTAGGGCTCTGGTTATGGGGTTAGCCATTTATAGCCTCAAGGAGAGTTTGGCCCTGAACTCCTCTTTCCTATAAGCCTTGTGGTTTTTTAGTCCATCATTTGGCAGAATATAACATCTTTCGGAGGTATGTGTCATGTTTATAGCAGAAATATCTTACATTGTTTTACACAGCTGCAGACAACACTATTCTACCTTGCAGGGGTCTCAGTTTACAAAGACACCTTTGAATACTTTTAGCAATCTGATCAGACTCTGTGTGAAAATGGTAGGCCCTTCTGGGAGGTTGTGAGGTTGTTTTGTGGGTTCCCCTTTTGTCACCTCTTTACCTAATAAAACAAGGCCAGGCATGATCTTTCCCCCAGCAAAGTGGGTAAGAACCCAGGAGATAAATGGGGGTGAAGGTTGAAGGTTTCTGTTTCCAGCCTGTTGCTAAGTCAGGCCCTGGACCCATAAATGCCATCACATAGAACACACAAAAACGTTCCCTCCTTTACTTTCCCCTAGATGATTCAGAGGAAGAACTTTATTTTTACAAATTGTGTGGGTTATTTTTATCTTTATTCATCTCTAGTTCATGACTGTTTTGCTGGTGTTAAAAGTTATTTTGGTGTAATACAATTGTCTATCATGAGACTGGATGCCCAGCCACCCGGTCATGCCACTTGAGCTCAAGGATATCAATTGACTCCTATGTTAGCGTTGGACAACAAACACCTTGGGGAGATGGAGCTGAGTAGCCATGATGTTACGGACTCAATGTCTGTGTTCCCACAAAATTCATATGTTGAAGCCCTGACCTCCAGCATGGCTGTATTTGGAGGCAAGGCCACTGAGGAAGCAATTAAACCTCAATGGGGTCATGGAGGTGGGGCCCTGACCCCACAGGAGCAGTGTCCTTGTAGGATGACACACCAGAAAGCTCTCTCTCTCTCTCTTTCTCAGTCCTGTGAAGACACAAAGAGAAGACAGCGGGCTATGAACCACGAAGAGAGAAGACACCCTAATCCTGGACTTCCATCCTCCAGAACCATGAGAAAATAAGCGTGCGTTGTATAATCTGCCCAGTCTGTGGTATTTTGTTACTATGACCAGAACAGACAGACACCTAGGAGCTCTGGTAGTAACACAGCCAGAAGCAGTGAGAAGCTGCGGAAACTGCATTTCTTGACTCTGGTGCTGGCCTCTACCTTCCTTGTAAATATTCTAGTCACTAGGCATTTGACTGATAAAACTACTGCTTCAGATTCAGAGGTAGAAATGCGTAATCACTAAAAATACAAATACCCACTGTCCAACCAGTCCCAATGAGATGAACCAGGTACCTCAGTTCACCACATGTTCTCACTCACAAGTGGGAGTTGAACAATGAGAACACATGGACACAGGGAGGAAAACATCACACATCAGGGCCTGTCGGGGGGTGGGAGGCTAGGGGAGGGATAACATTAGGAGAAATACCTAATGTAGGAGATATACCTAATGTAAATGACGAGTTAATGGGTGCAGCACACCAACATGGCACATGTATACATATGTAACAAACCTGCACGTTGTGCACATGTACCCTAGAACTTAAAGTATAAAAAATAAAATAAAACAGAAATACCTAATGTAGGTGACGGGTAGATAGGTGCAGCAAACCACCATGGCATGTCTATATCTATGTAACAAACCTGCAAACCTGCACGTTCTGCGCACGTACCTCACGACTTAAAGTATAACGTGTGTTTTAGCCTTTTTAGTGTGTGTAATTCAGAAGTCTGTCTTTGACCAACTATAAATCAAAGTGTGTGCTATCTCCAGATGAATTTGCTGCCCTGGAAACATATGTGAGGTCACGAGGAAGGCCCCGTGGCTGCGCAATGTACAGGATGTTCCTTACATTTTTTGCGTGATAGGCTATAGTGGCAAGTCTTCAATGGGAAGAGATAATGTAGTGTACACAAAATGTGAGTAGCAAGTATTCACTGCTAATTATCTCTTTTTTATTTACTGATTTCCGACCTTGTGAAAGAAGAAAATACCTAGGCATGTGGCTATTGAGCTAATGGCATTAAGACCCTAATGTAACATTGATTTAATGCAGGTTTCTCGAAGGTCAAATACCTATTGGTTCTGTATAAATTGCATGGAAAAAAACAAAATGCGAAATGCCACTTGATAAGATTCTTAGTCTCCAAATTACTTAAATTCAGAGTCGTTGAAAGAAGTTTATCTAAATGTATTGACTACTTATGGCAAAGCACCTTTAAAACCACCTAAACAAATGCAGCGATGCTGCTTCTTTTATCTGTCAGCACATTCCCTTCATCTTCATTTCTCAGTGCAAATGTTCCAGGTCTCTTCCACCTTTTGTTCAAATGAATTCAGAACTTTGATACTTTGCATCGTGACATTTGGCCCACTGAGAAAATGTACAAAACCTCACGGCTTCCACAGTCATCACATCAGGAGCTATTTGTATAGGCAGATGCCTCAAAATGTGGTACTAGTTGCTGTCTTAATTATCAGAGAAAAATCTTAGAACACAAAAGGGAACATTGCATCTAGCCCTGCAGAGCCCTAGGTGGTACAGGGAAGGATTGAATCACCTTAAAAGCCTTGAGTCACAACCTGCCTCAGCTGCTCTGGGGCTTGGAGCAAGGTCCTTTGCTCAAAAGGAGTTTATTTCCCGACACCAGCAGGATGAGAGTTTAGACACAAGACAAGCGCATCACCACAATTTATCTCACCCAGGATCATTCAGGAAGCCACTGACATCTGAAGAACACTTTCGCCTGTGCCTGCCCTTTCACGTCATGTTTTTGAAATATTCTCCACATAATAATTTAATTTCCTTAAAGAGAAGTCCCTTGATTCTTTCTGTCTTTTGTGTACAATTGCATCTGACAGATGGAAGCTCTGATATCAGATTATTATGTCACAGCTTAGTTATTTGTCAAAATATATTCTTTTGTACCCATCATATTACCTTTAAATTATACTGTATGGGGCACAAGCAAAATATAAACTCTGCATATGAGAAAAGTTACAGAAAGACAAACATTTTCAACAGCTTCAGCGTCACACCTATAGATTGCAATTTAAAATTAATAAATATCTGAATGCATGTATATGTGAGTGTGTACGTGTGTGAGAGAGAGAGCTCCCCTGTGTGCATGTGTGTGTGTATGTATGTGTGTGTATATGTGTGTAAACTCACTCATGGACATATTGGCACGCACTCAACTTGCTGAAAGCTAGGGAAGGAAGAAATAGGTAGACACAGTGAGACCATGTTGTTTGTTTGTTTTTTTTTTTTTTCAATGCATGTTAAAGCAAACAACCAAAAGTAAATAAAAATGATAGCGATTATTGCTGTACTAGAATAACCAAACATGGTAGTTTGGTAAAGACAAGGCTGAATACATATCTTATAGCTAAATACATGCTGTATATTTGTAAAATACCTGAAATCTTCACTGAATTTGAAAATAGATGTTGCTTATGCATAACGCTTTAATAAATGTTCTTTTATCGTGAAGTAATGCCCCCCATGTTAATTTTAATCGTCAGACAGTAGAAAATCAATCTGACCATATATACAAAAACATGGGATTCAGTGCTGCCGTGTGGGATTAGCCCGGGGGGAAAAAGAAACCCGGGATTAGCTACGTAATTTGCAGATCCCGGTGCAAAATGAAAATGAGAAGCCCCTTGTTGAAAATTGCTAAAAATATAACATGGGGACATCAGAGTCTTAAAACTAGCCTGGAGAGCCTTATTACAAGGGGTCCTGTGTGACCTCATTGGAAGCATGCACAAGAAATTTGCCCAGAACTGGGTTTGGTTCTGTATAATTAACTAGGTTGCCGGGTTGACAGAGGTCTCACAAGTGAAGGACTCGTAAATGGTTGCAGGGACTTTGCATTGTAAGAGGTGGCACACAATTTTCACTACCAGTCATTTTAAGACGTACAAATTTAAAAATTCACCAAAACTTGAATCCTAGTTTTCATCTCTTACACATAATGTAGAAGTAAGGGACCATCAACAACTGGAGAGAGAAAGGACAGCTTGGGTATTCCTAACCCAAAAATCCAAAATTCAAATTCTCCAAAATTTAAAACATGGTGCTCAAAGGAAGTACTTATTGGAGGGTTTCAAATTCTGGATTTTTGGATTAGAGATGCTCAGCCAGATACGTCTGTTATGCAGACATTTCAAAATATAAAAAAATCCAAGATCTTAAATATTTCTTTCTCAAGCATTTCAGATAAGGGCTATTCAATCTATATTTAACCAACCTCATGGGCCAAACATCACTCTTCAGCTTATTACATTTTTGCCCACACAGTAACACTGAAAAAGACAGTTTCCTTTCTCATTAAATCAAAAATACTTTCTGGACACTCCAGATACCACTACCAGGAATTATACCTGCTTTTAGCTCATTTTCACTTACTAAATTATTGAGTATCTAATCACTTTTAATAACATTCTGAGATTAATCCATTTATTGTAACATGCATTGTTTATCATTTACATTTTTCAATATAAATAAAATGTATTAAGGCAGCATTTTGTTAAAATTATTTCCACATTTGACCTTCAAGGACTCTAAATGGACATATTTCTGCTCTAACCTCTTGGGCATGTTATTGAGCTTCCATTAAACACTATTGAAAATGCAGTTTTGGATACAGTCTGTAGAACCTGGAAAGTCTAATACACCTTTAGTTGCACTGATGGTTTTGTAAGACTATTCGTTAAAATAGATTGATTTTTGACTTGTGAACACAAAGGTAATTAATGATCAGAATAACTTTATTAACATTGAATTCCAAATTGATAGGGGAGTACATTCACTGCTTTCCGGATGTAACTTAGGCCATATGTGTGTAACGTGATTGGAGAAGAATTGAACCGCCCATCTGATCTGTTTGCTGGAATAAACTGACTACTGCAGACAGATGCCTCTTGAAGGAAGGAAGAGTGAATGACCACAGGGTTGTGAGATGGTACATGTGGAAGCAGGCTCAGGGTATTCCGAAGGAATCCACCTCACTCCTCTGTTTTGTTTTAGTTTTGAGACACGGTCTCACTCTGTTTTCCAGGCTGGAGTACGGTGGTGTAATCACAGCTCACTGCAGCCTCAACCTCCTGGGTTCAAGTGATCCTCCCACCTCAGCCTCCCAAGCAGCTGGAACCACAGGCACGTGCCACCACATCTGGCTCCTATTTTTAAACATGTTTTTGCAGAGATGGGATTTCACCATGTTGCCCAGGCTGGTCTCGAACTCCTGGACTCAAACAACCCACCTGCCTCAGACTCCCATGTTGCTGGAATAGCAGGCATGAGCTGCAGCACCCTTGGCCCCGTGGTCTTTGATCCGTGTGAAATTGTGTCCTCAGCTCTTCCTTCTCTACACAACTTCTAGATTGACAGTGGGTTGGATGTCTAGGCCTTTCATTTGACCTTGATTTTGATTGTCTGCTGTCGGTTTCAATCTACTGTATAACTGTGGTTGGGAAAAGGATGAAAGATATAGAGACTTATGCTTTTGTCACATTTCCCAAAACACTTTCCCCCACAGTAGTGTTCTCTAATTAGTCCCAGTACTCAGAACCACGTCACTCTCTCTCACTCTGTGTTTCTTTTAGTTGAACTTGCATGGTCCTGCAGACCTCATCAGCCACTGCCCTAAGGTTTTTTAGTGGCTCCCACTAAGAATTAAGAACAGTGAAACTTTAAAAGCCCTGGCAAGATAGTGTCTCTTTCTAGAGAGACTGGCAGAAACAGGGGTTTGGCATGTGAATGGTGATGGTGACAACCCATGGCAACTAAATGAGCCCTGAGTCTTCAAAGACAAAAGCCGGTCGTCCTGTGAGTGTAACCATGCTCCTCATACAGATGCATGATAGCTTGTTCAGCTGTGAATATGCCGTAAAGAACACGTTCGTGCTACCAAGTAAAGTGGAAAGGATAAATTTTTAAAATGTGCTCACATATTTGTCGAATGTAACAGTCATCAATTCCAGGGTGAAATAACCCTGAGGAAGAGTTCATACTATGACTCCTTGGGTGGGTTGCAATGCATATTAATATGTCAGGAACGTAATGAGGTTCATCAATAAAGAGCCCTGTTTAACTTTGTCAACCAAGCAGTTACCAAATTTATTAACCAGAAATCCATTTTCTGGCTCACTGTTTATCAATACAGTCTGTGCACCATTGATAGAGACAATAAAGGGATGATTTCTGCTTTAGATACCGAGTAGGAAATGAGATGAGAATGATATTAATTGCATAGGAATAGATGAGTGGTTTTGACAAAGAAGACCCTGAGTGTAAAGTTAATAAAAGCTTACACACATTAGAGGAAGCACGGTGGGAAGCTATTCTTTTATTTTCAGTGGACTTTAAAATAATATGGGCAGGACCCTGATGTCATTTAGGTCTGGCCTGGCATCCTGACAATTCTGACGGTCCTAATTTCTATCATGAGTTATTTTCAGTAGCCAGAAGAACTGGAAAATAATGTTAAAATGCTAGTTGATAAGACAATAAAAAGCAAAAAAAAAGAAAGAGAGAGAAACAGAGAGAGAAAGAAGGAAGAAAGAAAAGAAAGAAAGAGAAAAAGAAAGAGAAAGAAAAGAAGAGAGAAAGAAAGAAGAAAGAAAGAAAGAAAAAAGAAACAGAAAGAAAGAAAGAAAGAAAAAGAAAGAAAGAAAGAAAGAAAGAAAGAAAGAAAGAAAGAAAGAAAGAAAGAAAGAAAGAAAGAAAAAGAAATTAGGGTCTGAACAGAATTGTGATTCTGTTCAGAGGCCGAAGCATGTGTTTGAGCAAGGAAACACAATGACGAGACTACATTTGTATCCTCAGCTCACTCTCCCTTGAGCTAGCATCCTGCCTCCAATGCAACTAAGGTACACTCACTTCTCAACCAGACAGGAGCAATTCCAAGTTGATCCATCACCCCAGGCACTGTCAGATTGAGGGTTCTAATATAATTTACACCAAGGGTAACCCACTCTCCCTGATTTTTATCATAACCTGCCCTGGCAGGGTTTTGATTCTACCACAGTAACTCCCAGAAATTCCAAGTGGCTGAAATAAATCCTGTCATCAGCATAGTTAGTTACTTACTGCAGATATTGTTACTACCTACAGCAAATATTGCTTCTTTTCTTTTTCTCATGCTCACCTCCACTGTCACCCACGAATCCACCAGCCATCACCCCACTCTACCAAATGCTGCTGCCTGCCTGAGTGGACAGATATACTCTCATTCAGCTAATAATTTAATGCCCCTTTATATTCATTTTCTTTGAATATCACTTGAGATTTTGTTGGCTGTGTGAGACTAATATGACTTTCGCTTAAAAAATCACATGCTTCTAATTTTATTTTGAAAATCGGGGTTTTTGGTGTACTTTCATTACATTTATCAACGTCTTGTAGGAATCTTAAAATATGAATAGCAAAAGAAATCATTTATTTCTGGTAGATCATGCTATGTCGTGTGCCATTCCACGTAAGAATCTTGCTGAGTGGTCTTGCTGATTTCAGCTCATCGTCCACAGGCTGGTCCCTTGATTGATGGTCTGCCCGTAAATGAAGTACACAAACTCTCCATGTGCCTCACCAAAAACAAAACCAAGACCAATAAGGTGCTACCAAAAAGAAGAAGCTGTGTGTTGCTTGTGTCTCCACTCAAGGGCACACATGTATCTCTGGGGATGGTGTAAATGCACCTTTTGCCACTTATGTTAGAAATAAAGTCTAAAACTTGGTGAGCTCTCACCATGATTTCAATTTGTTCCTGCGATGTTTTAGAACAGTAATTGCCATCCTTGAATATTGAACTTATCCAGGGAGCTTTAAACTATAATGACAACTTGGCTTTATTCATCAGAGATTCCGATTTATGGATTTAATTTGATTGAGTGTTATATAGGCCTCAGGAGTCTTATAATATCTCCAGTTAATTCTAATGTGCATTAAGACTGAGAGCCCCTGCTTCAGAAACTCTCAGATTTGGAGATTTTGCAGAGGACTTGCCTAGTATCCAGGTGGTTTTTCCCATCACAGTTAAAGCATGGGGGGATCCCTGGGTTCCTCGGGTTCTCTGTGTTCCATCATTAGTTAGTGGGCCTGGCCCTTTCTTTGTAGTAGACCCTGGAGGAGACATACCCTATGGTGCTGATTCTCTCTAATGTCTTCAAAACCTTACACTATGAATTTCTCTTCACTCTTGATTTTCAGTCTGTCACCTGCCTTTTCCAGTTTGGTAGCATCAGGAAGACTAAAATTAAATATTAGTCAGACTTAATTTAACAAGCATTGTTGTGAACTTCTGGTTTCTACTCTGAAATGTAAACAGCTCAAAAGTTGTTTATCTCAACTGAGAAAGCTGAAATTCAACAAATATTCATAAATTTATCAGAGAAAAGAGTTCACAGGGCAAACCATCATCATGACAACTGGAGAGACAGGCAAGTACATACCTAGAGCTGCAGCTCCTTGGAAGAAAAAGCCACAGCTGGATCCTGCTGGGAACACTTAAAGGGTCATTGACTCATTGCTGTGGGCTAAGCATGGGCTATATTGAGAGGCTAAAAACTACAGTTCCCCATATGCATATGTGTTTTATAACCATAAGTACCACCAGGTTCTCAGGCAAAAATCAGAGAAAGAGCCTTTTGTGTTTCCATCTGGGAATCAGGTGGGAATAATTATTTTTTAATATTCCCAGAACACTGTCATCATTAACAAAGGCCTACCTTCAAGGAAAAGTACTTAGCAAACCTGGGTTTACCAGACCCTTACCACCCAGGCAGAAAGAAAATAGTCAACTGCAGGCCTCTCTAATCTTCCTGTCTCACCTAACTTGGGGGAAAGCTAAGAAGTACTTGTGAAGTTCACAGCCTAGGGTCGCAAGCCCACTAAAAGACTGATACTTAAATATAGAAGCATAAAATGGTCCTCTTCTCTCCACACATTACCAAATCAACAGGGCTCCTCAGTAATAGCAGAGAATTACAGCTGAAAAGAACTGCAAAGCTCAGACTATTTAAGAAGGATTCTCAAGAGAAATCTAGAGACAACAGGGGAGACTAAAACAAAGAAGCTAGAGGAAATTAGTCTCTGATGGCTACAGCTATAACAGGTATAAACACAGGCTAACTTCATCCAGATAAACATAAAACCTCACATTACAGCCCTGTTTACCTGAGTTCCTTTTACTCCATGCATCATCTTTAGTTTTCATCAAATAATTACAAAGCATTCCAAACATACGCTGAAGAGGTAAAGCAAACATTAGTACCAGACCCAGATATGATGGAGACTTTGGAATTATCAAAACAAGAATCTGAAACAGCTATGACAAGTGTGCTAAGGGCTTTACTGGAAAGTGGACACCGTGCACAAACAGATGAGCAGTGTAAGCAGAGAGATGGAAACTCAAAGAGTGAATCAAAATGGAATGCTGGAGACTCAAGGCATTGTAACAGATATAAACAATGGCTTCGAGTGTCTTCATTCGGTAGGGCTGCCATAACAAGGTACCAGAGACTGGGTGTGGTAAACAGCAAAACTTTATTTCATCATGATTCTGGAAGCTAGACGTCCAAGGTGTTATCAGGGTTGTTTCCCCTGAGGCCTCTCTCCTTGGCTTGTAGATGCCCGCCTTCCCTGTATGTGTCTGAGTCCTAATCTCCTCTTTTTATAAAAACATCAGTCATGTTAAATAAGGGTCCACCCAAAGACCTCATTTAATATTGATGACCTTGTTAAGATACACTTTACAAATATAGTCACCTTCTGAGGTAATGGATATTAGGACTTCAGTGTATTTCTTCCATTTTGGAAGACACAATTTAGCCCATAACAATTTCCAATTCTGCAAAGCAAAGAGAAAAGAAAATTTGGAAAACAAAAACAAACAAACAAACAAACAAACAAACAAACAAACCGAATAGGAGATGTAGGACAATTACCAAAAATGTAATATATAGATAATGGGTATTCAAGAAGGAGAATAAACAGAAAAAGGAACATAAGAACTATTTGAAGTAATGATGTTTCAGAATTCTCAAAAATAGTGATAAACACCAAATCACAGATCCAGGAAACTCAGAGAAGACTAAGCAGAGTAAATACCAAAAATCTACATTTAGGCATATCAATTCAAACTGCAGAAAAACAACAAGAAAATATTGAAGGAAGCCACAGTTAAAAACAAACAAACAAACAAAACAAAACAAAAAAGAAAAAAGCATCACACCTAAAGCAAAACAATGAACCAGCAACGCATGGTGGCTCACACCTGTAATCCCAACACTTTCGGAGGCCGAAGCAGGTGGATCCTCTGAGGTCATGAGTTCAACACCAGCCTGGCCAATATGGTGAAACCCCATCACTAATAAAATACAAAAATTAGCCGGGTGTGGTGGTGCGTGCCTGTAATCCCAACTACTCGGGAGGCTGAGGCGGGAGAAACCCTGACATTGTGCTGAGATTGTGCCACCGCACTCCAGCCTGGGCGACAGATGTTAAATCAAGGTTAGCCTGAAGATCCCTCCTTACATACGTAATTTCAGCCTAAAGGCTTTTCTGTACATCATGAACTATAACAAGTAGAGGTGTAAACAGATGGTTGCCCAGACCTGTGCCAATCACTGAGTTGTGGCCAGTCAAATGTAGCCAATTGTTCAAAGGGTGTTCAAATAAGGCAAACGATGAGTGGTAACCAAACCAGTTATTTATGTACCTCACTTCTGATTTCTATACCCCACTTCCCTTTTTTTGTCTATAAATCTTTTTCCACCATGTGGCTGCGCTGGAGTCTCTCTGAATCTGCCATGATTCTGAGGGCAAATTGTTCATGATTTGCAAATTGTTCATTGCTCAATTAAACTCCTTTAAATTTAATTTGGTTCAAGTTTTTCTTTTAAAACAGAGCGAGACTCTGTCTTAAAAAAAATACAATGAACTTCTTTTCAGAAACTATGCAAGCAAGAAGAAAACTAAGTAAAATATTTAAAGCAATAAATGAAAAAAAAAAATCCCACTAACCTAGAATTCTGCATCCAGTGAAATAGTTCTTTAAAAGTCATGTAAAACCAGACTTTATCAGGCAAACAAAATTAAGGTAATATGCTGCCAGGAGACACTAATGTCAAGAAATGCTAAAAGAAAGAAGGGAAATTATGCAGGTTAAAAACTCATATCTGACCTATATAGATATCCAGGTTTTGAAATCTGCATACCTACATAAAGAATGAGTGCTAGGCAAAGTAATAAATGAAGGTAAAATAATGTTTATTTTGTATCGCTAAATGATATTGATTATTCAAAATAATAATAGCTACAATGTATTTAGTTATTACAGCTTATGAGTTAGTGAAATAATGATCATAGTGTTGTACAGGACAGCAGGAAGGAATTGAGAATTCTTGGTACCCACACTTCTCTTTGGGTGATATAGGGTTATTTTCAAGCGGGCTTAGAACAGTTGTGAATGTATATAGCAAATGCTAGGGCAAACACTGTGCTAGAGGGAAATTTATACCGTCAAATGGGTGCACTATAAAATAATAAAGTGTAAAATTAATAATCTAAGCTTTTACTTTAGGAAACTAGATAATAAAGGGAATAGTAAATCCAAAATAAACAGAAGAAAGGAAATTACTAAGAACAGGTATGTGAAAGCGGCCATCACTATGGAAGTCAGGAGCATTAAAAGCATATTATGGGAATATTATGAACAGCTCTATGCCCACAAATCTGAAAACTTTAATACCATGGACCAATTCCTTGAAAGACACACTCTACCAAAGCTTATTCAAGGAGAAAAAGACAATATGAATAGGTGTATACGTACAAAACAAAGTGGTACAATGATTAGTAACCTTCCCAAACAGAAAGTAGCTGGCTCCAGTAGTTTCACTGGTAAATCGTACCAAATATTTAAGGAAAAATTTATACCAATTTTTTACAATTTCTTCCAGGAAACAGAAACAGAAGAAACATTCCTGACTCATTCTATAAGGTCAGCATTACTGTAATACCAAAACCAGACAAAGATATTATAAGAAAGAAAAATTATAGATCAAAATCTCTCATGAGCATAAATGCAAACATTCTTAGCAAAATATTACCAAATCAAATCTAATTATGTATAAAAAGAATACATCTTGACTGGGTGGGATTTATTCCAGATCATCTGGTTCAATATTCAAAATGTAATTAACGTAATTCATCACATCCACAGACTAAAGAAGAATAATCATACGATCATTTAAATTGATGGAGATAAAATATTTGACAAAATCCAACACTCATTCATGATAAAAACAAAACAAAGCAATGATACCTTTCCCAGGAAGATCTAGTACAGAATTATTCTAACGGAAATGAGGAGAGAGGAGGAGAGTCTAAGTAAAAAGTGCTAATTCCCCGATCATTCATAGCAAGATGAACATAAATATGACCCAATGGTAAAATATTTACTTTATTTTATTATTTTATTTTATTTTTTGACATAGGGTTTCCCTCTGTCTCCCAGGCTGGAATGCAGTGGTGGGATCATGGTTCACTGCAGCCTCAATCTCCCTGGGCTCCGGTGACCCTCCAGTCCCAGCCTCCCCAATAACTGTGACTGCAGGTGTGCACTACCATGCCTGGCTAACTTTTGTATTTTTTTTTAGAGACGAGGTTTCATCATGTTGCCCAGGATGATCTCAAACTCCTAGGCTTAAGCAATTCACCCTCCCAAGCCCCATAAAATGCTGAGATTACAGACAAAATATTTAAAGAGAAATAGAATGCTTTGCATTCTTTTAACTTGTAGATACAAATTATTTCAGGAAAGTTTACTTTTCTAATATTTCCAAACTTATTTTTTTCATTCCATTTCTTAATTCTGCTTTTGAGGAAATTGAGAATTAAACCTTCTTTGTCTTCCAAAGCTATTACCTATTACCAATTACTTATTTCTATATAATTAGTTCAGCTTTCTGTATCCTACCCACATAATTGTTTTCTGTTTCTAAAGCAACACTCATTTTTATTTTGGTAAAGATTTTGCTTCATTTGGACCTGAGCTTTCACAGCTTACTGTTTTCTTTTGTTTATTCTGTTTTATTTTCTACTGATGTATTTGAATCCTTATATCTCTTTTTTGAAACTTTCTATTTTTTGAATAAGAGTTCTTTTCCAAAAAGTATAAGTTTAATGATTTCTGTTTCTTTGTGTAATTAAGCTTTGGACAGAATTCTATGTCTATATTTTCCACGTGGTTAATTTATCATTTGTATTTTTAGTTATGAACTCATGTTCTTAGCTATTTTTCAATATCTATAGATAGATCTTAAAGGGTTTTCTTTGTGCTCATTTCCTATTTTTGCACGGCCTGAAGAGTTGAAGCACACGTTGAACAAGTGCAGGTGGTATAATCAACACACAGTTAACAACTTTGATTTGGGCTTTTCACAAATAACTCCTGCTGAAATGCCCAATGATGAAAGAAAATCTCCCATATTAATATTTGGCATTCAAGGAGTTGGTAAGGTTTACAGCAAAACTCCTTGAGGAAGGGATCCTCATCTTCAAATTTTTGCATTTCATCCACCCCTCAAACCTCTCGGCCTGTAGTAATTCCCCTAGGCTTGAAGGCTGCACTGTGAAAACCTAGAAATGCCACAAAGAGTAACTTCTAACTACTTTTCAAGACATTCTATAGTGTCACATTGAAATCCTAGAAAGTCAACACAGATTTCTGTCATGGTCTTTCCATCTGTAACCAAAGAGCACCTATTTTGGAATTTTTGCTTTTATTTTTACAAAATAGTTGTTATTCTGCCTGAGGCTTGATGATTTTTATATTAAATCTCAGCATCCTTTTATCCGAGTCCAAATTTCACAATATTAGGTATGCATTGTGGAGTTGTGGTTTATTCAAATCTTCATTGAAGACAGTTTTTTTTTCCTAGTCTGTCTCAGTTTGGAAGAAAAATTACAACGTTTAAGAAAAAAAGAATAAACAAAAAATGGTCTTCCATTTAAAAAAAATACTGCCTTTTCTTTGACAGTTTTACTTCTACTGCCATAACTTTGGTTGTAATCGTGTATTCTTGAGTTACTGCAATAGTTTTCTAACTGGGCCCCTATTTGTGTTCTCCACCCACTTCTGATCTATGCTACACACACTGCCAGTGTAATTTACATAAATATATCATAGTGCAAAGGTTAGTAGGGGCCGTAACATTTGTTCCTGCATTCCACACATAAATATTGAGAAATTATGGAACTGACATCAAGAAATAGCTGAGGAAAAACTCCTTATGTTTATGGAACAATAAAAAAGGGAGACAGACAATACAAAGAGAGCAAATATATATCTTAGTTAAGGTCGTGAAAAATGCTATGAAGTAAAAAAATTAGTGATAGAAGTGTTTTCTTTTAGACAGGATATTCAAAGGTTTATGCAGAAACATGATATTTAAACAGAAATCAGAATACATTGAAGAATTGAGGAATGTTAATATCTAGAAGAGAGCATTGCAGGCAGCGAACAGGGAAAGTCCAGCATGACTAGGTGGGAGCAGCTCTGAAGTGTTTAAGGAACAGCAAGAAAGCACTCATGGCTGGAATCTTGTCACCAGGGCAAGAGTGCTCATAGATGAGAAACAGTCAGGGGCAAGACTGTGCAGTGCCTTACAGGTCCTAGTGAGGTTAGATAGCGCATGCATTACTCAGCATGCATGCAAGAGACTAAACAACTTCAGAGACCCTGGATTTAGTAATAGGGCTTAGAAGTACAGAGTGGACCTCATATATCCATCCCACCTCTTTTCACTGTGGGGTAGACCGAAGCCCAACGAGGACAGTTGTCTTTCCAAATCATAACGCTACTCTTTATGGTCCACACCTCCAACTGAGGGTTTCCTCTGCCTGGGGGCAGTGAGTCACCATTGTAAAGATCAGGGTTGGAGAATCTGGCTGTTATATAAAAAGGATTAGGGAGGGACGTCCCTGGTACTTGGTGAGACCATCTTTGGATCTAGCACCATGAAGTTCCTAACAAGAGGTCTACACCATGAACACTGGTTCTTTCTCCAGAAGATGCCCTTGGGCAAAGGAATGGGGAGAAATGTGGGTCTGGAGGCAGTGGAGCCAGGGGCCATATCTTCCTTCTGCCATTTCACTAACCAGCTGTGTGACGTCTGGCCAGAAACTGAAATCCTTTGAGTTTGTTTTCCATCTGCAGAACAGGGGTAAACTCACTATACCAGAGGGGTGTTGGTATGGTACAATAGGAAAATCATGAAGGAAAGTATTTTGTAAATTGGGGAACACATGGGGGAGAGATTGGACAGACAGCAGTGGACTTCCGGGGTGATACATGGAGAATCACCAAACACAGTGTTTGTGACGACAGCAGTTTTGGGTCCTTGGCTCTTGTCTTTTTAGGTTAAAAGAATTTAAGCAAGAGACACACAGCAAAGGAGATGCAGCATAGAGCACTTCAATGGAAAGGAGAAAGAATATTTTGAAACCTAGGTGCAGAATAGACACTACCCTTTGAGACAGGATTCAGGGCAGGCTGCTCATGAGGATGAGTCAGCCTCGAATGTCACTGGGGTGACTCGCTTTATGGAAGACTTACATGATTATTCTTAAGAGGGTGGGAAAAGGCGTTGCCAGTAAGCATGTTCTGGTTGGTCTTCCGGGTGCACATGCACAGTCTCTGTACACGCTTGTTCATATATCTCATGTCTCATTAGCATCTTCAATCTCTACCCAAGGGTGTGGTTTTTACTACTGTGATGAGCAAAGAGTCAACTGAGGACAGGTAAAATCAAAATGCACAGCTCTGTACAGGGGAAATTCCCCACCTGAGCTGGCTGGGCTTGATGAGCTCAATTACAATGCGAATGCTGGGGCTTGTTGTGTTGACAGTGCAAGCACCATGGTTGCCACATCCCCAGGACATGGTTATTTCTTTGACTACCTATCCCACCTCATTTGGTTGCTTCATGAGCACTGGACCAGGTTAAAAGTGGACCCATAGGTAGACCTGAACCCCAACAATATCATTGGTGGAGATACTAATTCACTGTATTTTTCACATGCCTTGCCTTTTGATAAGGCAACATTAAGTTGTTTATTAGACATCCACAGGGAGCTGCCTGATGGGCAACTGCAGTTATTAGTAACCTGGAAATTAGGAAAGGGTTGGGAAACTGAAATGTAAGGTTTGTGAATCATTGATTTAAAGATGGCATTTGAAGCCTAAGAGCTGGTGTTGGCTTGTAAAGAATGTGAGGATATTGGGAGGCCAAGGCGGGCGGATCACAAGGTCAGGAGATTGAGACCATCCTGGCTAACATGGTGAAACCCTGTCTCTACTAAAAATACAAAAAATTAGCCGGGTGTGGTGGCGGGCACCTGTAGACCCAGCTACTCAGGAGGCTGAGGTAGGAGAATCGTTTGAACCCTGGAGGTAGAGGTTGCAGTGAGCCAAGATCACACCACTGCACTCCAGCCTGGGCAACAGAGCGAGACTCCATCTCAAAAAAAAAAAAAAAAAAAAAAAAAAAAGTGAGGATGAAGAAGAGAAGAGAGAATGAAATTTTAAAAAGAGTAGAAAGCGAGACAGAAGAAAAATCAAGAGCTTGTGGTGTTCCAGGAGCCATGTGAAAATGTGTCATGAAAAGCATGTGATTCCACATGCCAAGTGTTGAAAGGCAGTGCAAAATAAAAACAGACTTGATCACTAGACATGGCAACATGTAATTCACCGGCGACTTTGAAAAAGGTGGGATTTTTTTCCCCTATGAAAGTGTGATATAAAATATGATTGGCATGGGTTTAAAGGAAATGGGAGGTGAGGAATAGACATGGACCCCTGGTGCTATGGTTTGGATCTGTACCCCTACCAAAATCTCATGTTTAGTTGTAATCCTCAATGTTGGATGTGGGGCCTGGTGGGAGGTAATTGGATCACAGGAGTGAATCCTTCGTGAGTGATTTACCATGATTACATTGGTGCTATTCTTGTGATCGTGTTGTCAAGATACGTGGTTGCTTAAAAGTGTGCAGCAACTCCCCCCTGGCTCTCTCTTCCTCCTGCTCTGGCTATGTAAGATGCCCCTGCTTCCCTTTTGCCTTCCACCGTGATTGGAAGCTTCCTGAAGCCTTCCCAGAAGCAGAAGCTGCTATGCTTTGGGTGCAGCCAATGGAACCATGAGCCAATGAAACCTCTTTTCTTTATAAGATAAATTACCCAGTCTCAGGTATTTCTTTACAGCAGTGTGAGAATGGACTAATATACCTGCATTCAGACGTTTTTCTATAAAGAAGAGAAGAAAATATGGTGATACCTAAAGTGGTATTTGAGGATACACGTTTTCAAATTATGGGAGATATTGGAACATGCTTATGGGGACAAACTAATAGAAAGGGAAAATTGATGATACAGAAGATAAACAAGAGGCACACCCATCTCAAGGAGGAGGCCAGGGGTGGGACACACTACACAAGTGGCCTGATAGTTGTTCAAGAGGAAGCTGGAGGGACAATCCTTCATATGAAGAAGGTAGAATAGACTTGGAAGGAAAGTGTGGCGGATTTTCTAGTGATGTTTTTGTATTTTCTCAGTTACATAAGAATCAGTCTCATCAGATAGGAGAGAAGGTTGAAGGTGGTGGTGGTTCAGAAAGAGAAAATGTGTGAAACAATTATTTCAATGATAACTGACTAGGGAGACATAGAATTGAGAGATAGTGAGGGTCTCCATAAAGGTTGTACTGAAAAATAAAAAATAAGTTCAGTCTGCACAGTTGTGTATTTTTTCTTCTAGTCTTGCCCCAGCACCAACCAATTTCAGGCGTTTCCATGCAGGTATAATCACCAACATTAGATTTAATTTAGGAATTAGAAAATGAAGATGTCAGCACTGAAAAAAAAAGAAGACACAGGAAAAAATTATCTCTAAGCATGTTGAGTTTACTCAGGAATAGAAATAAGGATTATAATCGGGATGCATGAAATGGCAAGTCACCAGTGCATTCTGGAGGGAAGGGAAAGGGAGCTTTTGTTAGCAAAAAGAGATTTGCATAAGCTGCTTAGAAACACAGTTCATTGGTTCCAGAGGCCCAAAACCAGAGTTGCTGTCACTTCATTGGTGGAGATGCAAGTAACCGGGCAAATGTTCTTCCAAGAACATTTTAACTGAATTACTGCAGTCCTAGAGCCTGTCTACCGATAAGCTTTATCAAAGCAGAGAATGCCTGAAGGACACAAATGGGTTTTTTGTGGGGTTTTTAATCTTATCTTATATCGTTATCTTGTCTTAGACAAGTAGGCATGAGACCCCTCTCCTTCAGGTCTTCCTGGCTATGACAAAAGAAGTTTTATCTAGGTAACTGCAAATTTCACAAACAGTATTGGAGATGAAGGGTTTAAAAAGGGAAGAGATGACAGAAAAGACAGATGGCAGCGTCACAGTTGAGTATAAAGAGAGATGAGCATTTGAGGAAGGTGGTAGACATGGAAACTAAGATTGTTTCTATGGATAGGAAGTAGCAGGGTACTTAAATATTTGTTTGACTCAGGGTACTTGAAGAAAGCGTGTGAAGAGAGGGTTGTGGACTGAGAATGTGATATCTTCAGTCAGGACTGGGAAGGACTCAGGGCCGTGATGCCGTCTCTAAGATGGACCCACCGCATGAGCGTCACCTCTTGTAGCGGAAGACAGAATTAATAGAAACGAAGAGGCCTGGGGTTAACAATGTCTGCAAGGTCGCTGACTTCATGAAGGACAACAGCACCAGTGATAAGCCCTGGGCCAGGCACGGTAGCTCACGCCTGTAATCCCAGCAATTTGGGAAGCCAAGGTGGGCGGATTGCTTGAGCCCAGGAGTTCGAGACCAGCCTGGGCAACAGGGCAAGACCCCGTCTCTACTAAAAATACAAAAAGTAGCCGATTGTGGCAGCGTGCACCTGTAGTCCCAGCTTCTTGGGAGGCTGAGGCAGGAGGATCACCTGAGCTCAGGAGGAGGTCAAAGCTGTGGTGAGCTGAGGTTGTGACTGTGCCCTGCACTCCAGCCCAGGAGACAGAGTGAGACCCTGTCTAGGAAAGAAAAAAAAAAAAAAAAAAAAAAAAGGAAAGGAAAGAAAAGAAAAAAATGACCTTCTTGAGCAATTGAAGTAATTGGTACAGTTTGAAAAAAATAAAAATAACAAAACAAAACAAAACAAAAAAACACAAAAAGCCAGTCTCAGGTGAGGCAGGTGGTGAAGGGCTACGAAACGCATGGGTTTCAATAATGCAGTCTCCTGTCCTGTGCCTCCAAGGAGGACTGTTTTTGGGGAGGATGTAGGAACAATTACCTGGAAGTAGAAGTGTAGAAGTGAAGCTTAGGGAGAGAGCCTATCCCCAATCCAAGATCAAGATCAGTGGTGTGCAGGTTGCGGGAGAGGAAAAAAAAAAATCAGACCCGACTTGAGAGAGCAAAAGCCTGACAGCGTCCTCATGGGAGATTCAGGGATTGATTTTGGCAGAGAGTGGGAAGAAGCACGCAGTGTGGTCGAGAATGAAGCTGGACACTCAGCAGGGGCCACTGCCCACAGCCCCGTGCCTCATCCCAAACCCTGGGAGTCCCTCCTGCAAGCTAAGGTGCAGGGGCCTGTGGGCTGGAGGACCAGAGGGTCTGGTTGCAGTGTTAGTGGGTAAGGATGGGAGTGGCCAAAACCAGAAACAGGACTGTGGCGGTAGTTGGGAGAGGTGATGAGGCCATGAACCAGGACAGTGATAAGGAGAAGGGGTAACGGCAAGAGGTCAAAAATGAAGGCGTGGAAGGGCAGAAAACAGCCTACAGGGACAACGAAGGAAGGGAGAGGGTGGAGGGGAAGTGGAAGGGGACAGGAGCAACCTTCGGTCCTGAGCACAGTGGGCCCGACTCGAGAGAGCCTGGAAAACGACCCTATAGGAGGAGTTTGCCTTTACAGCCGAAAGTTGGAGAAAGGGTGGCCAGAAACATGTTTTATCTGCCACCTCCACAAAAGCAGAAATGTGTAGCATTAGCACTGTGTCCTCAGCATGACAATGGTTAGGAGTAGACAAAAAGGATATGGCCTCAAATGTAAGGCAGAATAATGTTTACACTACTTTTGCAAGTGAGTATGCCTTCTGAAATACCCTGCTTTGAATTTCAACTTTTTAAGCCCAATTTTGAATCTTTAAAAATTATTTTGATGTGTAGAGGGAAAGAGACGGGAAATGTAAAGTGAAATGGAATAGAACTAGAGGCAAATCGTTTTCATTTTTTTAAGATATGTGAGCAGAGGGGAAAATACTCTTTTCATGCTTAGCCGGATAGCTTTCTCTGTTCAAATGTCTGGAAATCAACTGAACCAGGGAACTGTAAACCTGCCTTCGGGGACCTGAATCAGGCAAGAAAACTCACACTAAGTCAGAACAATCAGAAGGAAAATGAGCTGAAATATTTACACTTGAAAATAAGGTTCCAAACTTCAAGTACTAAGTACTCTCTTTTAAACATGTTTTACATTTTTTTTTTTTTTTTTTTTTTTTTTTTTTTTTTTTTTTTTTTTTTTTTTGAGATGGAGTCTCACTCTGTCATCCAGACTGGAGTGCAATGGCGTGGTCTCAGCTCACTGCAAACTCTGCCTCCCGGGTTCAAGCGATTCTCCTGCCTCAGCCTCCTGAGTAGCTGGGACTACAGGCGCTCACCACCACGCCTGGCTAATTTTTGCCGTTTTAGTAGAGATGGGGTTTCACTATGTTGGCCAGGCTGGTCTTGAACTCTTGACGTAGTGATCTGCCCGCCTCTGCCTCCAAACTGCTGAGATTACAGGTGTGAGCCACCGTGCCCGGCTGGCATGTTTTACACTTTTATGCAATTCTGAAAAGGGCAAAGTTAATGTAAATTTAATGCAAACTATTTTTCATTATAACTGCATAAAAATATGTTCTCCCAGGAAGCCTACAAAATCAAATAAAATATTTTGAGATTAGACTAAAAGATGACATAGCAATTTAATCATGTTTATTAAATTTATTATTAAAAATGTATTATAACAAAAACATCACCTATTGCAAGTAGCATTCACGCACTACTTATAAGCAATTGGGTTGGTGATAAAATAAGAGCTACTGAAAATTTACTCTTATTAACATGACCTCTTTATTTTGGAGTATGTGCCTGGTACTTAATGTTTTACACAATTGAAATTAGAAATAATATCACCTTATGCTTTCTCAATTATACATAATTTATAAATATTTGGTTCTGCTAATAAAACAAATTTTATTCACATAAAATGCCAACTGTAAAACTTGGAGATGTAAACTGAGGTCATAGTATGAGCTAGGGGATTCTTCAGTGCCCTGCACATGGCTGAAAACACAGTATGCACTGAGAAAGGAATTCATTCACAGATTACTCATGATAGACCAAAGAGGGAAATGCTGTCAAATGACAGAAGTTATGTTTGGCTCACAACAGCCTTGGGAGGCGTCAGGTGAATGTTCAATGAAGCAGCAGCCCATGTCCAGGCCTCCTATAAAGACCTCCTTGTGCAAGCCTCAAAACTGTGACATGAGAATGAGACAAGACTTATCCCAACTCAGCTCAGATAATTAGGACCCGATCAATCAAGAGTAAAGACACAGATAAAAAGAAAACAGGATCGCCATTTTGGGTAAAATAAAATTTCGAGTAGATGGTATCTGGCTCTGGTTAAGGTGTTATCTCCTCCACTGGACTGTAAAATTTTCTAGACAAGATAATAACAGTTGCTTTCACGCCTTCACACAGTATTGTTGTGAACATGAAGTGCAGACGTGCAATGTGCATCGACTTTGTAAAGTGAACAGCATTCCAGATATTTAAATTATTTTCTTTTATCATTCTATTTAACGTTTTAAACACAGCTGAGGTTGTTGTATTTGGTGTTGTGCTGGGGATAGAACTAAAATCAAGTTACAGTGGGCCTACAGGACTGTTTTAAGAACATGAAACCCTACAAAGGCAGACTCAAGGCAGAGTTTTGTAACCAGGCCTTCCTTAGTTGACCCTCAATTAATATCAAAGGATGTTTGTTGACGATGCCTGGTGGGAAAGAGTGGGTTTTCTGAAAAGAGTGGGAATTTAAAATTTAAAAAAAGAACCTGGAGTTCCTGTTTGACTTCTGGCTTTCCTCTCAGACAAGGCTCTTAGCCAAGCCAGGCCTGGCTTCTACATAAAAATGAGGAAAATAACATCAGGATGTCATGGCTTATGCAGGGATCAGTTGAGACAACACAATATAAATGAAACTGGATTATGAATTTTAAAGTGTTAATGATAATCATTCTACTAACCTTTTATAAAGTTGGTCCGGCTTAAAGGCTGATAAAAATGACCACAATATTTTGGAGTTCTGCCCAGTTCCATACGCTTTGATACCTTTATTAAAGATATTTTAAATCATTATAATGGATTTGTGGCTGTCAAAACTTAGTAAACAAAAACAAATGTGAGTTGCTTTTCCTTCTTTGTATGTATTTTATGTGAACATGGAAAAAAACACTCTAGAATTCAGCAAGATCCAAACACATTATCATGCTCATGTAGATCTTCATATACAAATCAGCATCACAGCCAACTATTCCTAGATTTCTAAATCTTGCTTTAATTTACCATCCTTTATCATCACTTTTTAGATCAGTCCCTCATTGAGCTTTCAGCCCACAAGCTGGTGAGCTAATATAAGAAGCAATCTGAATTAATGTAGAAAAACATTAGAGGGGTTCATTGTTCAGGTGTGAATGATTTCCCACAATATCGACATCTGCCGCATTCTTTTAACTCGGTAATTGTGTAAATCTGTAAAGCCATCATGTCGGCACAATTTTGATGTTGGAGTTTCAAACATGTATGACTCCGTTTCTCTCCAGATATTTGCAGGATATCATTGATGCACCTATGGCTGATTATGCAGGCTTAACCGATTTTGCAGTTATGGGATATCTGGAGACTTTTTCCACCCTCTTCTCCTCTGAAGCCTATCTTTTATAGAAGCTCCACCAGGGAGCAGAGAGAGATGGAGAGAAACAAATCATTTTGTTACCCATTAGATACTTTGAATATATCTGAAGGTTTTGGATACAGTGGGCTTTTAAGTTATTTGTGAATTTGAATTATGGCTCATTCCCCAGTCACAAACTTGGAAGATAAGTTAGACAGGTAGAAATGCATGGATAAAACTAAAATTATAATTTAAATAGTGTGCACAATGAGCAGGAAAACTCAATATTATCTGTTATTTATCAGGATTCTGGAATTTACCTGACAATAGTGATTTCTCATATTTTTCTATTCTTGACTTTTCTGTAATTAAAATACTGGATTTGTTTTTAATCATTAATAAGTGGGGACATAATAAATCCTACCAAGCTAGTCTGCACCTTCACTGGAGCACAGACAAGCAAAGATACAAATATACATGCACACACACCATCCTATTCCAACTTCTAGGTCTCGGTTTCTAGATATTTCAAACTCAATGGTCAGTAAAATATGAGGGGAGGAGAATGGAAAGTACATTTCCAACCCAACAAGGTTAGTCATTATTCAGTAGCAGTTCTGATGTCACACAAACCCATACACAGGGATGGTTGATTTTACCAGAATATCGAAAAATACAAATTTTATAGTAAACTAATTTTTTTCTGCAAATATACTATTTCAAATAGCCATAATATGAGAGCCCCCTATACCCTACAAAAAGGTGTTTGTGGACTGCACTGCTCAGAATCTTTGTTTAAATTTCAGTTTGCTGGACTGGGGCATGGCTGACCAATCTTTTTAAATTCTACTCTCCAGTGACTGATGGGTTACTCCATATATTTTTTCTCCTACTTAAAAACACATACACACACACTTATTTTGTTATAGAATAATATAGGGAGCAGTAGAAGACGTTCAATTGTTTTACAGAATAGAAGATGACCTCTTTAGATGGTTTGTAAGTAAAAGTAGTAGACGCACAGGTTAAGACTGGAGAACAACAAAATTTTCCATCTTATTAATGCAATGCACCTGCCATTGACACACTGACACCCACAACACACACACCCTTCTAGAAAAAGGAAATCAATGGTGTCTGCTTTTCAGATATCCTTCCTGAAAAAAATAATGATACACATAACTATGCGACCATTATCATCTACAGAATATCTTGTGAAAGCCACACTATCTGGTTTCCTTGACTTTATTTCCTACTGATGTAGTTTCAAACTCTTCCCATAAAATTCTGGCTCATTCTTTGTAAAACATGCATAATGTTCCTTATTATGCTATCATGGGATAAATCATTTTTGTAAAATCACTTTACTCTTGACGGACATTTTTGTTACTTTTACGTTTTCACTATTAGGAACAATGGTCCATGCGTATTCTTGTTGACATGTCTTGGGATTTTTAAAAAGTGTATCCATAATTTAAATTCTGAATGCTGGAATTGCTCATCACAGTTTAATGTGCATTTTAAATGTAGATGTCTATTAGCAACTGTGCTCTGAAGTGTTTGTGCCAATTTAATTTCTCGCCTGAAGTGCGTGGGAATTGTATTTTCCCCACAAATCACCAGGAATTTCTGCCAATTGATAAGGGAGTAATAACAATTTATTGTTTAGTATGAAGGTTTTTTCAAAGTTTAGCATCTTTCCGTAGGTTTATTTTGGCATTTATGTGTCTTTTTTGTGAACTTTGAGTCCATATAAATTGCATATTTTTCTATTGGATCTTAGTTTTAAAGTTTTGCCTCAATACTTTGCCAATAAAAAGAAGGAACTTTGTCATGCCTATCATGCAGTTCATTATACTTATGATTTTTCCCCCAGCAGATGTGTTTGCAACATTATTCATTTTTTAATGTTAGTTTTTCTAGAATAATTAGAATAATTCACAGCTGATAATGGGTACTAAATATAGCTTAGATATGATTAATATTAATAGAAATATTTTTCTAAGAAACCATATGTAGATTTATACTTTCTTCTACATATTAGGATTTCATTTTTGTATTAATTTTTGATCCACTTGCATTAATAATACCAAAATCTAAAGTTGCTCAAGTTCCTTATATAAAATGGCAAACTAGTTGCATCAAAGCGACCTACATCCTTGTGTATACTTTAAATTATTTCTAAATTACTTACATACCTAATCCAATGTAGATCATTGCTATACATTATTTTTTGGGGAAAGACAGGATAAAACTGTGCATGTTCAATGCAGATATAACCATTCATTTTTTCTTTACCAGAACATTTTTATCTCCAGTTGGTTTGAAACCAGGGTGGTGAAATCCACGGATGTGAAGAGCCAACTCCATTATGCTTCCTTACTAGTCATCACTATTGTTTGAAAAACTATTCATTTTTGTACATTGCTTTCTACTTTTCTGAATTTTCTTACATATATTTAGTGGTTTTTAAGCTGAATAATTGTTTTCTATGGCATATAATGATACCATTCACAAGTTATGAAAATGATGCCATTTTCTTTCAAATATTTATCCACCAGGTGTTAATTTATAAGGATAATAGTGGAAATTATTGTCTAGTTCCAATAAATATCAATATTTCTCCTCTTTTACCTTTCAGTGTGATTCTGGTTCTGTGATTTTTTTTTTTTTAATTTTTATTGTGTTTACCAGAACCTGATGCATCCCTTCCTTGGACAGTTCCTGAAACAAATGAGTCAATTTACAATTAATTTTTTTCTTCCTAAAAAAGAATAGCAAGTATGGGTAGGGGGGAGGGATAACATTAGGAGATAAACCTAATATTAAATGACGAGTTAATGGGTGCAGCACACCAACATGGCACATGTATACATATGTATACACGTGTATACATATGTAACACTGCACGTTGTGCACATGTACCCTAAAACTTAAAGTATAAAAAAAAAAAGAATAGCACATAAATGCAATAAAGAGAGGGAGAAGGACAAGAAACAAGGTAGATGGAGGTCCACGTCTTGCCCTGGATGTCTGTCATCTAAGACAGAGAATGACCTCCACATGCAAGACACCTGCATATGTGAGACACCTGAGCCAATGGTGACGTCAGGATTCGTCAGTCCTCCACTCCTAGGCTCTGAGTCATGGCAGAGTTGCAAGAACAGAGGTGAACCTGAGCTCTCTGCAGGCAGACGAATATGGTTTGGATGTTTTGTCCCTCCAAATCTCGTGTTGAAATGTGATCCCCAGTGTTGGAGGTGAGGACTGGTGGGATGTGTTTCGGTCATGAGGTCAGATCCCTCATGAATGGCTTGACACCCTCCCCATGGTCATAAGTGAGTTCTCATTCAGTTAGTTCACAGGAAAGCTGGTTGTTTAAAGGAGCCTGGCACCTCCTCCTCCACTTTCTGTCTTGCTCCCTCCCCTGCTGTGACACACTGGTTCCCCTTCACCGTCCGCCATGAACACAAGCTTCCTCAGGCCCTCCCCAGAAACCAAGCAGATGCTGGTACCCTGCTTCCTGTAGAGACTGCAGAACCATGAGCCAAAATACACTTCACAAAAAATAAATTACACAGTCTCAGGTACTCCTTTATAGCAATGATAAGGAACTAAAACACAGACTTACCCCAAATAGGAAAAATACCCATGAGTCACCCAGCGAGAGAAGCCTGGGGTGGAGAACTAAGCTAGCTCCTTCCACGTGGAAGGAGATATCTGGAGTGAGATAGAAACATTCCTACTTCACACATGTATCAATCTGCTCCTAGTCTAACAAGATTACATTTTAAATTAATGTTACCTTCTGCCAAAGACACTTTATACATCTAGTAAAATGATCATATGGTGACAATTCATTGACCTATGAATATGGTATAATGTAATTGTATTAATAACAGTAAATATATTAATATGACATATATTTATATAATATGAAGTTAAATTTTAAATTATATTGTTTTATAATTTTATATACATTGTCTATAACTCCAGTCACCCCACTATCTTCGACTCAAACAAATATCGTTTGGTCATAATGTATTATTTTGTAAGGCACTGCTGAACTGCATTTTCTGATTTTTTTAAGCTTTATTTTATTTTTCATTGACAAACAATAATTGCCTGTTATTGGGTACAAAGTGATATTTTGATACACATACACACTGTGGAACAATCAAATTTTAGTATAGCTAATAGAAGATTTTAAATATTCTCACCACAAAGAAATGATAAATATTTACTGGCATTGTTAACTATATGTATACAAGTTTGTAAATGTGTGTGTGTGTATGCGTGCAATATCTTCTCTGTTGGTTTACCTTTGTCAGGATTTAATTGGCATCATAAAAATCACTTTGAGGATTTTCTTCTACGTGCTTTGAAACATATTATCTGTGTTTCAAACGAGGTGTATGCTACTATCAAGGTAGAACACGAACATGATTCAGCTTAAATGATCTATATCCTAAATTAGTTATTGTCTACTTCATCTGTTATGGATGCAGAGTGAGGTAGGCGTCTCACTGCAACCATATTTCCGTTATCCTTGCATTTCCTAGTTTTGCTTGATTTATTTTTAGCGTGATTTGGGGCGTCAAGTTCGATGATGGCTGTGCTCTTTCTGTGACTTTCACTCTGTTTCTTGTGAGGTGTGCTGGGTAACTTCTCCCTGGCTGCTAGATAAGTTCCACACTCCTGCTCATGGCTCAGTGGCCCCGGAGGCCAACCTATAGGCACTATTTCACTGGGCTCTTCTGCCCTCTCTTATTCATTTGGGATTGACAAGGATCAAGCATAGGGAGGAGCATAAGTCTGTGCATTCCTTCAACAGGGTCCCTCCCACTGGGCTCCTCCAGCCAGCTGTGAATCTGAATGGTCAAAGCACCCATGAATGTATCACGGCCGGCTGGGCAGCCCTCTCCAGCTCCCTAACTTCCTCCTCCTCGCACAGGTCAGACAGGAGGACTCTGGAATGCCTAGCGCTGGGGTAATAGATTTTTTTTTTTTTTTTTTTGGTGGAGTCTCCCTCTGTCGTCCAGGCTGGAGTGCAGTGGCACCATCTCGGCTCACTGCAGCCTCTGCCACAGGGTTCAAGCGATTCTCCCAGTTTAGCCTCCAAGTAGCTAGAATTACGGGCTCGCACCACCATTCCCACCTAATTTTTAAATTTTTAGTAGAGATGGGGATTCACCTTGTTGGCCAAGTTGGTCTCGATCTCCTGACCTCGTGATCTGCCCGCCTCGGCCTCCCAAAGTGCTGGGATTACAGGCGTGAGCCACTGCGCCCGGGCAATGGATTCTTTCCTTCAGTTTTCCTTTACTCTGCCCAGACTTAGATAAATATTTCCTTTATCAAACACATTTTATATTACTTCAATTTGAACAAGCCAACCATTTCCTGCCAGGACCTGGCACATATGGTAATGCCGTTTGACTTTTAAACATCTTTTCCGTCGAACTCCCTCTGGGCTGATATTGGCATCACCAGGTCTCCTATTCATTAGACATCCACCGTTGGGTTTTTCTAACCTTTTACTTACTTTGTCTCTACCATTCGTCTTTGGGATTTATATTTAAAGTCAATCTGAGACCCCTTTCCTTTTAATATCTACTAATCTATCTCTATCCACTTATATTTCTTTTTACAGTGATATGCTTGACTTTCATGTTGCCTTTCTGTGATTGTCATATTGCTGCATTTTGTCACTTTTCCTATAAAGATTATACTTTCTGTTCTTGGTGTCAATGTCTGAGGCTCACATTTTCCTGCCAGCAATTTGGAAAGTTAATAGTCTAATTTTTTACAATAATGAGCTTTGTAAATTGAAACACATTACTCCAAATCTTAGCACTTTAGAAAATAGGTATAATTCCACACTGTTGAATAAGAGAACATTTGATACTAACTCTTCCTTGCAAGGCCCCTTTCCTCCCAGCTCTGATTTGTTTTTAAATTATACCTATTTTTAGTTATCCTAGAGGTTTCCTTTAACCTTTAAAATGCTAGATGTAGTTTTTAATTTTTTGATATTCAGCCTTGGGCAATATCATTTAATTTCAAAAAACACAAAGAATGAGCACACTCACATTTTCTCTGATCTTTTGTGCCCACTCCACCGCTTTGATAAGAGGACTCTTTGTTCATTTCCTTTTTCGTACTTTACTGTTGTTATTTTATTGTCTCCTATATTGTTACGAACCTGAAATCTTAAGCCAACCTAAATTTTTTCAAAATGTTTGAAATTATTTTTCTACCCAAATATCTATATGAATATTCTTAAAGTATAATTTAACCAGGTACCTGGCCTTTAATCATTTTTCTTCTGTTTTTCTCCCTAGTCGTTGCTTCTCCCTCTCTTTCAATCCATCACTAAATCATATAAAGTTCACCTTGCTGTCCTTAGCTTGGAAACCAAATTCCTTGAATTCCGTGGCATGTGGCACACCTGCATCTTACAGAGCAGTAAGTGTCCTGCAACACACGGATGTTTTGAAGATTTAATCTTTCTGATCCTCCCAAATATCTTTAAACTTTTATAAATATATGAGCAGCTCCCCATACATCAAGTGCTGTCTGAGTCTGTTCTTATGACAGATGAGCTAGCTGTAATCTTAAGGAGGTATTTTAAGTTTTCAGAGAGCTCTGTTCTCCCCCTGCGGTGGTTGTTTCACTGTTCCCCCCACCCCCTAAAATTTTCCTCCTTTCTTCTGTTAGAACACTTTCCAAACACCATTCTTTCTGAGGATTAGAGAATTTTAAGATTCTTATTTTTTGTGGACCTATATTTATAATTACTTAGGCCTGGACATGTAGCTTATCCTTGCTTATACCTGTCTAGTTACATCTCTTAGACCCCAAGGCTAATGATTGAGGGGTTCTCTCTTCATTCCTTGCATCATTCTCCTCGAGTGCCCCCTACTCTAGGGGTATGAGCATTTTCTAATCCACAGCTCCCTGCTCTCTTTAACTCAACTATTTTTAAAAAACCTAGCTACATATTAAATTCCTCTGAGAAATTTTCTTTAAAAAAAAATTCTGAACTTCAACTCCAAGCAAGAAAATGAGAATCTTTAAGTACATGGCAAGAGGGTCAGTATTTGTTTAAGTCCTCTAGGTCAGTGCTCCCCATCCTTTTTGGTCCAGGACCCAGTATCATAGAAGACAATTTTTCCATGGATGGGAGGGAGAGGATGATTTGAGGATGATTCAGGCACATTATTTTATTGTGTACTTTATTTCTATTAATATTACATACTCACCAGAATGTAGAATCAGTGGGAGACCTGAGCTTGTTTTCCTCTAACTAGATGGTCCCTTCTGGGGGTGATGGGGGACAGTGACAGATCATCGCATATTAGATTCTCATAAGGAGCATGCAACCTAGATCCCTCACATGTACAGTTCACAGTAGGATTTGCGATCCTATGAGAATCTAGTGCCGCCGCACTGATCTAAGAGGAGACAGAGCTCAGGCGGTCACGCGAGCCATGGGGAGTGGCTGTAAATACAGATGAAGCTTTGCTTGCTTGCCCACCATTCACCCCAGGCTGTGCAACCCGGCCACTAATAGGCCACGGTCCAGTACCAGGGATTGGGGACCCCTGCTCTAGGTGATTCCCATTTATAATCAGAACAGTCAGTAGATGTCTGCTATTCCCCTGTTTATGACCTCATTCAAATATAAGAGCTATATATGACAAATAATATGTTATAAAATAAATGTACCCATAAAATATAATAAAAACTATATATAAAATTGTAAATCTTTCTGGAATGGTGAAATAAGGACTTCTGAAAATCCACTTCTTTATAAAAACAATGAGAAGAGTAACCAAATGATAAAATGCAACTTTTCAGAGTTTTGAATATTCACCAAAGACTTGCAACAACCTGAGGAATATTCATTCAAGAGAAATGGCTGAATATTAGTAAAGTGATTCACTCTGTGCCATTTTACTTTGCCATATTTATTTCTCCTCTCACCATTCTGAGATAACTGTGAAAAACAGCCAACAATCAGCTTCTAGAGGAGACAGAATAGGTTTGGAGCTTCCCAGATACCCCCTACACAGACAGTATTCTCTTTTTGATCTTTCTGGAAGTTCTGCTGAAAAGTCTCATGCACAAAGCTTGTCGTATTTGATCGCACTCTGTGTCTACTTACTGAAAAACCCTAAGCCCAAGATGACTGTCAAAAGCAAAACAATGCAAAACAAAAAAAAATAGGCAAAGAAGTTCAGGTCTGTATATTAAAAATGTACAAAACATGGTTGAAAGGGATCAAAGAAGACTTAAGTACGTGGAAAGACATCTCATGTTCATGGCATAGGGGGTTTAATATTGTTAAGGTAGTAATATTCTCCACATTTATCTAAAGGTTCAATGCAGTATCTTTAAAAATCCCAGCTTCCTATTCTGCTGAAATTAACAAGCTGATTCTAAAGTTTATATGAAAATGCAAAGAACCCGGAAAAGCCAAAACAACCTTTTAAAAACAACGTTGGAGGACAACTATTTCTGATTACACAAATTATAAACTGATAGCTATCAAGATGGTGTGCTCCTGGCATAACCACAGACATGTAGGTCAATGGAATATCAGTGAATTAGCAAAAATAAGACACGTATGGCCATTTTATTTCAATAAGAGTGCAAATGACCCTACAATGGAAAATCGTTTTTTCAGCAAATGATGTTGAAACTATTATATTATTCAATATCCATATGAAAAGAATGAAGTTGGACCTCTACTTCACATTGTGTACAAGAATTAACTCGAAATAGCTAAATACCTAAATGTAAGAGCAAAGACCACCACCAACAATGAACCTCTTAGAAATGAGAATGCAGGAGTCAATTTTCTTAACTTTGTGTTAGGCAATAATTGTTTATTTAGGAAGCCAAAAGGACAAACAACAAAAGAGAAATAGATCCATTTGATTTTATCATTAACAAAAACTTTTGTTTCAAAGGACACCACCAAGAAAGTGAAAAGATAATCCAAAGAATTGGAGACTGTATTTGCAATTCCTATATCTGATAAGACACTTAGATTCAGAATACATTAGGATCTTTTATAACTCAACAATAAAAATATAAGTAAAAAAATTTTTAAAACTAAGCAACAACGTGCATATATAATTATCTGAAGAAAGTATGTAAATACTCAATATTCACATGAAAATCTAGTCAACATGAAAAATTATTAGCGAAATTAAATAAAAACTCAAGGATACACAACTTTTCACTCATTAGAATGGCCATAATTATAAAAATACATAAAAAGGCTGGGCACGGTGGCTCACTCCTGTAATCCCAGCATTTTAGGAGGCCAAAGGGGGCAGATCGCTTGACTCCAGTAGTTTAAAACCAGACTCGACCATATGGCAAAACCCTGTCTCTACAAATAGTAGCCGGGTGTGGTGGTGTGCACCTGTGGTCCTGTTACATTGGTGGCGGAGGTGGGAGGATCACTTGAATGCAGGAGGTAGAGGCTGCAGTGAGCTGAAATTGCGCCAGTGCACTCCTGCCTGGGTGACAGAGGGAGACCCCATCTCAAAAACAAAACAAAAATCGTAAATAAAAAAGTATTGGCAAGGATGTAGAGAAATGGAAATCCAAATACATAGGAGGTGGGAATATAAAATGGTGCAACCATTATGGAGCACACATTGACAAGTTTTCAAAATCTTACATATGAAATGAATTCCCACATGACGCAATGATTCCATTCCCAGGTCTTTACACAAGGTAAATGAAAGCATTTATTCACATAAAACTTGCACAACAATAATCATAACAAAAAGATTCCTAGTTGTGGAAAAACTGAAACAATGTATATGCCCACCAACTTATGAATGAATAAAAATTCTTGACTAACTGCTCCATGGGTAGCTGCAATCTTTGGTCAATTTTGAACCTGACAAAGTTGATTTTGACACATTGTGGCACATTTTTCCTTGCTTTTATGAAGGCGTAAATCATGAAATGTTTATGCCTCACCATTGTCACTGACTACCCCAAGTGCATGATTTACATTTTAGCCATTTATATATGTACCTAAGTATAAAACATAGTGTTATTTGTTTTAAAGTGTACATGGATTTTGCCATATTGTGTATAGTTTTTATAATTTGCTTTTATTCAACATTATTTTCAAAATTTAAGATTGTTAATTGTTTCATTTGCTCTACAATATTTATCTATATTAATATAACAAATTATTTTTCTATTAACGTTTATTTAGGTTTTTATTATAAATAATGCCACAGTGAACAATTTTTGATTTTTTTTTCATCTTGTGACCAACTGATTATATTGAGTAGATACTTATATTGAAATTTTTGGACAGAAATTCTGCATACCTTGAAAATTTTTGTTATTGCCAACTTTCACTTTCTAAATAAGATGTATTCATTTACACATTTTCCTGTGGTATAGTTTATAAGAGTTTTATATCTTCATACTCTTGTTAACACTGAACATTACAATCCTTTTACTTTTTCTTTTCTCACATGCGTGTGAAATAGTACAGTTGTTTGAATTTAATCTCCAGATTTCTAATAAGGTTGAGTGTTCACAGTTTTACCTCCAATTGAGTGAGCTTGTATACAGCCTTTGATGGTTGACTAGTAAGTTACTAGTCTTCTTCTTGTTGATTGATAGAAATTACTCTAGATGTTTTGGCTACTCCTTATCTGACAGGTGAGTGCTCTCAGCAGGCTGTCACTGTGGTCATGCCTCTGTGCAGCCACGTAGGTCCCCGGGTTCTGCAGGCTTCCGCTTCCACGCTCCATCTACTGTGCACCCCTATTGCTGTGTTGAAATTCACAACCTTTGAACAAGGGTCCTGCATTTTCATTTCACCCAGAGCCTTCAAAATTATGGAGCAAATTTTGGTTGTGACTATTATCCTGCTCATTTCTTGCGTTGAATATATAGCATGCCTTGCTGAAGCTGTGTTTCCTTGTTGTTGTTTTTGTTCCTCCTTGGGATCTGTTACCTTTCCTTCAAACTGGTATTAGGTCTATGGGTCTTGATGCATACGCTGATGACATTACTTTTTCAAGATTAGGTCAGGATGTACTCTGGCTTTCTGTGCTTTTAAAGTTTGTGGTTCCTTGTTCTGGCAGATTCAGTAGGTCTTTATCCTGCTCTTCTCCATACCTCTGAACCCACCAGGCTTGTTCTACTATGGTGTTTCCCAACTTTCTTGGGTGTAAGAACACTGGGTAGTTCCTTAAAAATATGGTTTCCCAATCTCATTCTCTAGTAATTTCAATTACCAGATCTCAAGGAGGGCTTAAATATTTGAATGTTTAATGAAATTGTAGGTAATTGCCAGAGACAACATACAGGAATAAGTTGTCTAAAATTAGTGAACCTAGGGCTGGGCACGGTGGCTCACACCTGTAATCCTAGCACTTTGGGAGGCCAAAGTGGATAGATCACTTGATTTCAGGAGTTGAAATCCAGTAGAGCCAACATGGCGAAACCCCATTGCTAACAAAAATACAAAAATGACTCAGGCATGGTGGTGCACGCCTATAATCCCAGCTGCTCTGGAAGCTGAGGCAGGAGAATCACTTTAACCTGGGGGGTGGATGTTGCTGTGAGCTGAGACCATGCCACTGCACTCCAGCCTGGGTAACAGGGCAAGACTCTGTCTATAAATAAATAAATGAATAAAAAGAATTAAAACATTTTTTTTCTGAGAACCACATAGGGTGTAAAAGAGAAGCAAATCAGAAAACTGCAGTGTTCTCTTACTCTCTGAATATGCTATGTGAGGTATGCTTCAATGTGAAACCTATCTCTCCTACCTAGTGGGACCCAAATTTAGATATTTAAGCATATTAACAACACTGCCAAGTTTATAATTATCTGCTTCTACAGTGACTAGCATCACATGGGTATAATGAAGCACAAACTAGCTCTGTTATAGCCCGTAGAACAAAAATAAGCAGATTCACTTATTACTTTTTCAGATAACACAATCAGTTTAGACACAACTCATAATATGGCACTGTTTTATACATATGCACACAAACACACACACAAACACACATCGACTCTATTAATTCAATATAAATCTACCATAACCTAACCAATGTAGTAAACTTTTCAATATTTAAGAGAAGTCATGAGTCTTATCTGAATATTGGTGTCCATAAGACCATAAGAGTTGCTGCGTGATGTTTATTTCTTAATCCTCAGGTTCAGTACTTTCTCTCACATCAGGGAGTCTAAACTTGTGACAGACCAGGATTATCCTCCCAGAATTAAGGTCATTCACCAAATAAAATAATTTCTAATGACACCCGTACATTCTCCTCGCAATTGCTTTGTGCCTGGAATTGTGCAAACGCCTTGGAGCCTGCATTGTATGTTACATACTTTTACTGTATTCTAACTCAAGGCTGTTTGGCTAAAATTCAAGCTAACCTACTTTGTCCTGAGCCAGATTACATCGGTTACATCAGAGAAAACTCTCTGTGCATTTCTTATTAATGTGCAATTTGTTCAAATCTAGGGATTCCGTAAGAATTTTCTTTCCCCAAAATGTGTATACTTCACCAAACTGTGGGGGAATTCCAAAATCTAGTCTTCCAATGTGAAGTCCTGCTTTCCTGGGCACTGAAGGGTGAACAGAGACTTCTGTTGGGATGGGTTCACTGGGCCATGATGTCCCCTCTCTCCAAAAACTGGTGTGAGTGATGGAGATAATCATTGGAAGCCAGAGAAATGCAGATAGAAACTGATGTGCTGGAGGGAGGAGATCAGAAGCGGTGTCTGAAGAGATGGAGATGGAGATTGTGGTTAGAGAGAAGGAGTCCGGAAGCTGGAAGCCACAGGCACAGGCTGGGAGTGACGGTCCATGTCCACTGGCCTCTCAGACTTCTGGCTGGGCTCATTCTGCCTTCCCTGAGGCCAGTGTGGAGAACACCTCTTCGGTAGGATTTTGTAACATTCTCCAGCGTTGTCTCAATAAAACATCTCATTAACTTGCAATTCATTTGAAGCGTGTCTTATCGTCTCCCACAAAACAGCCTTAACCAAGATTCTATTTTATAAACTTTTTTTTTTTTTTTTTTTTTTTTTTTTTTTTTTTTGAGACGGAGTCTCGCTCTGTCGCCCAGGCCGGACTGCGGACTGCAGTGGCGCAATCTCGGCTCACTGCAAGCTCCGCTTCCCGGGTTCACGCCATTCTCCTGCCTCAGCCTCCCGAGTAGCTGGGACTACAGGCGCCCGCCACCGCGCCCGGCTAATTTTTTGTATTTTTAGTAGAGACGGGGTTTCACCTTGTTAGCCAGGATGGTCTCGATCTCCTGACCTCATGATCCACCCGCCTCGGCCTCCCAAAGTGCTGGGATTACAGGCGTGAGCCACCGCGCCCGGCCAAACTTTTTTAAGTAAATCAAACCACACACACAAAGGACAGCAGCCACACTTCTTTACCAGTATCAGAAGATCTTTAACCGAGGGAGCGTGTGCATGTAGGCAGGAAGACCGTGCCTCTCTAGTCTTTATATACATGATCTCCTGCTGAAATTTAGCATGCTTTAAATATCAATGTGGACAACAAATTAGAGTGACAGGAGAGGCATCTCTGATTGTGTCATCAAGAGAAGTCACAGATTTTTCCTATTATGTCATAATTACCACACATGGCTAGAAATTTCATTAACAACTAACAATTATTGTAGTAGTTATTGAACTGCTGCTATATGTTATTTAGTATATATTAGTTTTAGTATACATTAGTGTATGTTAATCATTAGTATATATTAGTATATGGATTAACATATACTAATCTAGCCATGTGTGGTAATTATGACATAATGGGAAAAAATCTGTGACTTCTCTTGATGACATAATCAGAGATGCCTCTCCTGTTAATCATCACTACATGTTAGTATATGCTAATCATGATGATTAACATATACTAACATGTAGTGATGATTAACACATACTAGTATATGGATTAACATATACTAATATATACTAATGATTAACATATATTAATATATGTTAATCATATACTAACATATACTAATGATTAACATATACAAATCTATACTAAATATGTAATTATACACTAAATATTACCATATAATCATATACTATATAATTATTATATATTTAGTATATATAATATTATTTAATATAATACTATATATTAAGTACTAAATATATAGTAATAAATATATATAATATAGTAATAAATAACATATAAACATATAACTATATACTTAGTATATAATTATATAGTAATAATTATCTAGTATATTATATATTTAGTATAAAATAATTATATACTAATATATACTAAAATTATTATATATAATAGTGTATAATTTCGAGCAATATATTGAAAACTGCATTTTTAAAATTTTATATTTAAAATTTATATTCTAAGAGTGTGAGTCATCAGATTTCCAAAGAGGTTTGTGGCACAAAAATGGTTAAGAACCAAAGACTTAGGTTGGTATCGTATCAAAGGGGAAGGGACCTTACAGCTCCTACATGAAGGATTTGGGGTTCATATATGAGAAATGTCAACTTAAAATTAGGATAGGAAATACTTGTCTCAAAATATTACTGATTATCCTCGGATTCCTCCTTGGAGGTCCTTGGTTTATCCAAACAGAATATGCTCCAACCTAAAGGCGGAGGTCAGGATCAAATGAACTCTTTAAGGTTTCTATCGTCCTAAGTCCTATTACTTTGTAATTTGATCTATCCATATGCTTAACTGCTACTTTACCAAATATAAGTCTGAGTAAGTTCTTTTCTTCCTCAGTGACAGTGAAACTGTTACATGCAGATGGATACACTCCACTGCTCACAATGTGGGTGGATTTGCTCAATAAGCAAAATCCTTAAGTCTAAATGAATTTTCTAGAGAGACACTACTTCAATGTTTCTGAATATATAATCACAGACAAAATACATTTTATAATTTTTACAGAATGTATAAAATGCTAACAAATTTTCAAAATGTGATACATTCAAAACGTAGCTTTTTGCCACATTCAGATGTAATAGATGCATTCTGAGGTTAATTAAAATGCTATCTTCCATACCAAAGTTAAAGAAGGAGTCAGTTAGGTCTTCTGTGGGATTTCACAAGGAATGTTTTCTCGTGTTTTTTTAATTTTTCTTTTCTCCCCATGAACTCAGCCACAGCTAAAATAAATCTAGAAATATGTTCATTGTGTTTATGAGGGTTGAATGTAACCAGCTTCTAGCCCTGGGGAACAACCTTGGTGTGGTTTGGCTAACCATGCGGATGTGACTTGGCTAACTTCACTGCTTGACATCAGTTCAAGCAGTTGAAATTTGTCTTGCAGTTGATTTTGCAATATAGTCAAATATGGCCCTAATCTCTTTGTGATCAGCTCATTACATCAATATGGAAATCCATAGGCATGTCCCTCTGAAGCCTTTTGTAGGTGGGTAGGGAGAGAGCGAAGTAGATTTTAGCCAAGTGACTGTGAGACATACCACTTTCAGGAAAAGAAAAAAAAAGAAAAAAAAAAAACATAGACATTCAAATTAACAATGGGTCAAGAATGACCAGGGTTTGTTAGCTGCCATTTTCCCATCTCGCAGGTGTAGTCACCTGTGCCGGCTTTCTACCGCCTTTCATTCTTCCCAAGCTCAGTTATATCATAAAAACATTCTAATATTAGATCTCTACTGACCAGACTCTCCTAAGCTCCCGGTGAGAAAACACTAAAATGTTGTCAGATCTCCAAGTTTCAATGATGAAAATGAAAACTGTGTAAAGCACCCACAGCTTGGATGAAAGTATGCAACAAGAATTAGGAATACCAAACAGTAAACTTGTGGAAAGAGACGTAATAGATTCTTTCTCTCAGGGCAGGTTTTGTGGAGCCCATGACAGTACTGATGAGTAAATTTGCTTGCATTAAGGCTCCTGTCCCTGAGAGTGAAAATATAAAATGAAAAGTCACTGAGAAAAATGGCAAATACAAGGGGATAATGAAGCTTCTTTTGTGACAGAAGATTTCCCTGCCAAACAAAGAAAGAAAATTATTTAAGAGGTTCTGTTCATACGGGAACATCACGATTGATTACAAATATGTATACACACACAATTTATTTTGCAAATATAGTCTTGCACACACACACACACACACATACACATGTAGATATATCACAATGAACTAACAAACTAAACTCAGTTATGCACTGCACATATATAAGACTATATAAATTGTACTAACAAAATAATAACTGCAGACTGCATATATATGTAAATATATATGTTAGATAACTAACCAATACATATATATGAAGTCTCTTTCTCTCTCTCTGTACGCATATAGTTAGTTACAGTTAGTTACAAATTGTATATATATATATATATATGACTATACATATTATACCAACTAAATACTAATACTGTAATTGCAGATTGCATGTGTATATATGTGTGTGTGTGTGTGTGTGTATATATATATATATAATGCCTACAACTAACCAGTAATTGTGGACTGTATTTATATATAATGTTATTATATATATATGTATCATAACCCTAACCCTTTATATATATTATATATATATACACACACACACATATATACATTAGTTACAGACTTAACTGGCCACTCTTTGCTTTCTACCAACCATCCTTTTTCTGCCTTTTTAACAGAACTTTGATTTGTTCTATAGCCCGTGGAATCCATGTGGTTATGGAGCCTCTCCTCCCTGCCAGGTGCAGGATTCAGTTCCAGTTGTCTGAGCCAATGATGATGATTGTTTTCCTTTTACCACAGTTGGCCAGGAATCCAAGCATAAGATGTTCAGCACAGAGCACTATTCTGAAAACTCTTGATAGTCTCAAGGTAATGAGCCCAGAAGACGTGGTTTCTATTCTAGGTTCATGGGAGAGGTGTCTCCCTCTCCCTCTGAACATGGATGTGGATACTGGTATTTCACACCGATTGCAACAGGAAGACAAGCAGTCTGAAGACAAAGCTGATGCCCCCAGAGACAAAGAAAAGAAAAGGAACTACAGGGCACTGATCATACTGCCCAGCCAATCATCCTACCAGGTTATATCATTTCTTTCTTTTTGTTTAACCTGATGCCAGGCAGAATTTTTGCTTAAGTGCAGCTGAAAGCTCTTTACTGATACGTGGTTTTTATGTAACTCTCATCTTTTATCTTTAGTAATTTCGCAGTGATATCTTAAACACCTTGCCATTTCACTGGCAAATTTAAGTTATTCTTCTCCAAATTTCCTCCCAAAATCCTACTAAACGTTTTCAGCATGGCATGTACTGACTTTGCTTTGCAGACATTGATCCTCACTGATCTTCCACACAAAATTTTGCCATGTGCCCTGTACCTGCTATTGCCCCAACCCAGAGCTTTGGCCATTCAACACACCCTACACCAATTCCTTTCCTCACCAGGCAAACGTGTCAACTCCTCCTTCATGTCTCAGCCCAGCTTTCTCTGTAGGAGATTTTCCAGACCATTTTCTCTTCTTTCCACTGCTTGTGACCATTACACTTTGACAAGCAAAGTGCTCCTAAGACAATCTTCCTCTTGCTCCTAGTTCTCATCATATTGCAGAAAAATGTACGTTTGCTTATTAATTTTCCTAGCTGTGAACTCCTAGTGGATATGAATGATGTTTTTCTTTTTACCCTTAGGGTCTGGCACATAGTATTTGCTCAATATTTTTTTCTTGAACTATATTACATGGAAATACTGTTTGGAATGCATTTAATTTAATGAGAAAAATGTGTTTCCTGAAGGCTATCAACCTGTATGTAAATGGATAATTCTGAAATAATTGCAAGAATAAAATATAATGTCTACTTTAATAAACATGTTTTGAAAAAAAGGTGACGAAAATAACCCTGTCTACTTGACACAGCGGGACAGTTGCTGAAGTGGTTCTTGAATGTTTACGCAAAGTAGATATTTCTATGGGATTTCCTGTCACTTCACCTGATTTGTGTGCTTTGGAAGCTACATGTTTAGTGAGTTTTGATTGTAAGGTCAGCAATACGAGTCTGGGCAGGATAATTTTGTTTCTTTTTTTCTTTTTTCTCCCTCTCTTCCTCTCTTCTAGTTTCTCTTTTCTTGATTATCAATGACACTTGCTCAATACCATTCATTAATGACAGCAGTTGTATTAGTCTGTTTTCATGCTGCTGATAAAGACATACCCGAGACTGGGTGATTTACAAAAGAAAGATGTTTAATTGGACTCACAGTGCTACATGGCTGGGGAGGCCTCACAATTATGGTGGAAGGCAAGGAGAAGCAAGTCACATCTTACGAGGATGGCAGCAGACAAAGAGAGAGCTTGTGCAGGGAAACTCCCATTTTTAAAACCCTCAGATCTCGTGAGACCCATTCACTATCACAAGAACTGCATGGGAAAGACCCACCCCATGATTCAGTCATCTCCGACCTGGTCCTTCCCACAACACATGGGCATTATGGGAGCTACAAGATGAGATTTGGGTAGGGACACTGAGCCAAACCATATCAGTAGTTATTAAAGGCTTTTTATGGTTTGCCATTTTTATATTTAGAATAGAAGCTCAAGACAAGAGTTGCAAATGCACACTATGCTAACATACTAAGCTAGTCCTTTTCAAGGCTCATTGCATATTCTTCCTCTGCCTGCAGTTACTTTTCTCATAAAGATTCATCCTCAGATATACTCATGGCTTCTTTTGCATGTAATTCATCTAGTATTGGCATAACACAACTAATATCTGGAAATTAAAGACATGGCTATATAAAATCTACCAATGATGGATTGAAGATTTAATGTCAGAAAACAACCTTTCTCGATTTGCCGTGTGTGTTGTGATTCATAAATCCTCCCTTATGATATCTTTGCATGTAGTAAGGAAATTAAAAAACCTCTCTTACAAGATAAGGTGTTTGTACAGATTCAATAGTAAATCACATGTAAAATCACTTTGCAAATTAAAATGATACTTAAATCAAAGTAAGACTATCTACAGTAAAGTCCTTAACACTTTTCTTGCAAAAGAAAACATGCCATATTATATACATTTGTGAGGTAATTCAATTACTATTTATTTTAAAACTGAAGTGCTATGGAACAGATTAAGACCACAGACTGCTTGGACTTTGGACTTTTTGCTTAGTAGCAATATAAATTTGGGCGAGTTGTTCAATGCCTTTGGGTTCAGTTTGCTTACCTGATGATGATAATAATGTCATTACTCATGAAGCTATTATGACAATGAAAAAGAGTTGATGCAGGTCAAGTCCTGACACATATCAATTACCTGCTAATTATTCGTTGAGAATACGAGCATCAGTTTCTCCTGCTAGACTTCATGCTTCAAGACAGGAATCATTTCTGTTTAGCTTGTCTCAGGGTCTCTGGCACCTAGTCCAGTGCCTGATGTTTTGCAGACCTTCAGATACAGTTTGAAGGAATGTGTAAATCCTGAAGGAACTCATGATTTTGAGTGTAACGGTTTTCTTCTGATAAAGCAGTGGGAGAAACCAGAGAGTGAGGTGAAGCCTAGCGAAGGAGCAGATTACCAGAGGTGGGAATTAGTTCCAAGACTTAAAGGAAGTTAGAGACCAGGATGGTGGCTGCCTCCGGAGGTGGCTTTTGCTGCACTCTTCTTTGATAAGGCTATGACTTTAGACCCTGCACCTTTATACCGCATTCTTTCTCCTTTCTCCCTCAACCTATGCTTTCAGATGTCCTCATGATAGATTTCATATTTCCCTTCTCAAAATCTGCTCTCTGTAAATCACCTAAAACTTTTATACATTTTTTGAGAAGTTAAGATACTGTGTTATCTTTCCCTACTAATATTTCAGGTTTAACTCTTTTATTATGAAAAAAAAAGTGAACACACTAAAAGAAACCTTATTCTCATGGTAATAGATAGCAGATATCACAAGTGGACAGTAGTATTATTTTGCCACTCAAGAAGATAACTTTTCATTTCTTGTTGAATTCAACTCAACTGACTATTTCACATTTTTATGTTTTTATACAGTTGATCCTGGATATAGATAGAGACCTGTCTGCCAGTTTTAAAAGCTGACTAAGCTTTATGATTTAAAGTAATATATCACAGGAGAATCAGTGGAAACTGAGAAGAATATGGATTTATTTGTGAAGTTAATAACCACCTTTGCATGATACCTTGGTGAATAGATTTTTACAAAATATGTTCTCTGTTTTGTTCTGCACAAAATTTTCATTAGCATCGTCTTATAGATGAGGAAGATTAATCACAGATCAAGTGATTACTTTTAAGCAGATTAATGGGGTCATTCCTGGCAGCAGCCTCCCATACTTTGTGTTTTTTCTGGGCTACTTCACATTTTATATTCTAGCTTCCCATTAGAGCAAGAGTCTCTCTGCTGGAAGGAATTGAGCCCTGCTGTATTATACTAATGTCTTAGAGGAGCAACCACTTACTGCTCCAGTTGAGGAGTCAAAGAGGAGACCTTCGGTTTGATATGGCCATGACCAGCAATGTGCAGAGGATATTCAAAGGAAAAAAAAAAGACTTTCATAAAAATCCATTAATAAAGACTCAGTTCCGATAGGGTGAGCTCTGAGCTAGGAATAGAGCAGAAGCAACCATGTGGGATTAAAGTCGTGCACGTCTAACAGAAGAGGACCAGGATGGAGGCAGTGCAAAGAGAAGAGAGTGCAATGCTGGTGGCCACAGAATTAAGGGTCCTCAACTTCCCTCGTTTAGGAGCGATTGGGAACTGATAGTGGGGTTCACTAAAGGTCTGATTTCAGAGTACACTTATCATAATACCAGATCATTTTAATTGTGTTTTCTTCATATAGTAACAAGTTAAAACACACACATCCTAAAAACTGGTCTGGGGAAGTTGCCTTGACTGTAAGCTCTGAGGAAGGACAGGTTATTTCTTGCTTGCTCTTAAGTCTTCGACAACCACCTTGCATTCCGTTATATTATATGCGTTCAATAAATATGTGTCAAATAATAGTATGTTTTCTGCAACTCCCTTCTCTAGTGACCAGCATACAAATGTGTGCAAGTGAACATTTAACAGAAATTGAAGTAAAGGAAAAACATTACAGCACAGCCCTGTTGTTGAGAATTCTTGACTTATTTTTTGAGATTTTGTGAAAAGGTTGATGCCTCAGATCTTCTCTCATAGCCTAATACTTTACAAAAAAATCCCTGTATAATTCAGGATTGATCTTAGTGACAGTCATTTGAATAAAAGGCTTCGAGTTTTATGTTTCCATAATTAACTTTTTAAAATTCATTTTGGGCAGAATGGTGTTAGTTCACAAAGATGGTATTGGACGAGGGATTTGGTTTATCATTGCCTGAATGTAAGAAAGAAGGAAAAGGTAGATAAAAAGGAAATGGGTGAGATATCTCTCATTTGATGCTTAAAAGTATCCCTCCCATGGATGAACAAGTTGTCCAAAAACTAACCCGTGCCCCACAAATTGCTCTTTCATACAACACCAATTCAAAAAGTATTTGTTGGGTGCCTGCTATGGTCCTGCAGAAGTATAAATAAAATAGACAAAACTTCTGATGTCAAGTACTTTCCCTTCAGGTAAAAATGTATAGACTATTAGATAATACTAGGGAGAAAAATAAAAGGCAAAAAGGTGCAATAGTGTTTCGCCAGCAGGTGAAATGGAGCTGGTATTCTCTCTCTTTTTTTTTTTTTTTTTTTTTGAGACGGAGTCTCGCTCTGTCGCCCAGGCCGGACTGCGGACTGCAGTGGCGCAATCTCGGCTCACTGCAAGCTCCGCTTCCCGGGTTCACGCCATTCTCCTGCCTCAGCCTCCCGAGTAGCTGGGACTACAGGCGCCCACCACCGCGCCCGGCTAATTTTTTGTATTTTTAGTAGAGACGGGGTTTCACCTTGTTAGCCAGGATGGTCTCGATCTCCTGACCTCATGATCCACCCGCCTCGGCCTCCCAAAGTGCTGGGATTACAGGCGTGAGCCACCGCGCCCGGCCTGGTATTCTCTTAATTTTCCATAAACCTTACGCTGAAAAAGGAAGAGTCTTTTCCTAAAACAGGAAAGTGAGGAAATTAGGCAAATGACTAATTGTATTCAGAATATAAAAGAACTAACAGCTCAACATCTGCATACCATAACATCAGATAATTTAGTACTTGCTACAACAAATACATCATGAAAACATAGATTAATAATGATTGAGAACTTACTATGTGCCAGATATTCTGCTAAGTAAGTACTTTACATGTATTAATTCATTTAATACAAAACCCAGGGGTACAGGCACTACCATTATTCTCATTTCATAGTGAAGGGCATTGAGTCTTGGAGAAGTCACATGACTTGTCCAAGACAAACAGCTGTTAAAGGGTAGAGCTGATATTTCAACTCCGCAGCCACTTCAAAGTCAAAACGTCATACTGCTACCAGAGAGTCATTTAGATTTGTATTTGCTTTGTTCTTGCCTTTTCTCATGAAATTCTTAGGGCTGGAAAGCCTTTTCCCTTAGTAGATGAACTAAGAAAAGATGATCATCAAGTAAATTTATCAGCTACTCTTATAACATTTTCTAGTTATCACAAAAACATCCCAATTACTTACCTAGGAGACATTTTCATCCTCAAAGGATGATGAGTTAGCCTTAGATATTCCTCTGTCCTCATGGCCCCTTCCTGTGTTGATCAGAAAAATCCCTATCTCTCTGACATTAAAAGATTAAGCAGGCAAAAGTATTTAATTGGAGAACATCAAAGGAAAAAGTTTCTGAAGACTTCATCATTCTCTTAACACTAGGCTAACAAGCCCTTTTTACCCTTCTATGTTTTAAGGGAAAAAAAATCACTTGAAATAAAGAAAGGATTTGCTTTGTATTTTTCTTGTTTGTTTTTTCAAGTATTTTAGAAAACAGAGAAGAGGATTAAACTACTCTGTGCATTTGAAATGGAGATAAAACTACCATCAACAGGGAGTTCTAAATTGATCCTTCTGAAGAAATTGCCTCACAGCCCAAATCCTATTTTTTTTTTTTTTTTTTGTTTTTGAGACTGAGTCTCATTCTTATTGCCCAGGCTGGAGGGCAATGGAATGATCTCAGCTCACTGCAACCTCTGCCTCCCGGGTTCAAGTGATTCTCCTGCTTCAGCCTCCCGAGTAGCTGGGATTACAGGCACATGCCACCACGCCCAGCTAATTTTTTTTTTTTTTTTTTTTTTTTTTTTTTTTTTTTTTTTAGTAGAGACACGGTTTCAGCATGTTGACCATGTTGGTCTTGAACTGCTGACCTCAGGTGATCCACCTGCCTCGGCTTCTCAAAGTGCTGGGATTACAGGCGGGAGCCACCGCGCCCGACCCCAAATCTCAATAGACCCCCATTCAGTTCTAGTTATTTTGTCAGTTACCTCTCTGCCCCAAAGACACGCACACACACATACACACGTATACACACACACACACACACACACACCACACATACAAAAAGCTTTTTTAAAACCATAATTTCTATTACATGAAAATAAACTTTTTTACTTTCTTTGAAAAAAGAGTTAAACTTTTCATACGATAAAACTTACCACACATTTTTCACAGGCGTATTTCTCCATTCAGAAACTTCTATTCATTTCATTTGTTAATTAGAAAAAAAAAGTATGATATAAAGTATGGTGTAATAGTATCATAGTGCTGGGTCTTAACATAAACTTGCTTTGGGATACTGCTTTTTGTGTTTTTTTTTTTTTTCTGTTATTTTTTCTGTTATTTACACTGAGCTTTGTAAAACTGAAATATTAACTCTGCTTTATTGACCTAAATTTCTTTACCTTTAAATTCATGATTTTTTTTCAAAAGCAGCATATTAAAACTTTTTAATTTTGAAATAATTATAGGCTCACAGAACGTTGCAAAAATAGTACATAGAGACTTGCATACTCTTCACTTAGCTTCTGTTAACGGGAACAAAAGAAGTGGAGTTTAGCATTTGTTACCCACCACTTTATTGCTCTAGTAATTTGCTCCTCCGTTTCCTGACTTTTATGTAATAAAATAAATACAGTACCTGAGGACTTATGTGGGACTGCTACAGAGTAATAAGAAATATTTTTAAGGTATTTAATTAAAATATGTCCTCCGGTTCTTCCAAATATAACTCTAATTAAAGCCTATGCAAGTTATGGACACACAGGCTTTTAGATGTATGAGGCACTTTAAAAAGTGTAGCTATTTTATCCTGAAAAGTAGCTTCTACATCAATGTACTTACTTATCACAGAAGAAGAGAAATTTTTTCCAGCTGGCTTTGGCTAAGTAAATCTAACAGAGACCTCTGTGGCTTGAGAAGGGGCTTTGTGAGGTTGATTCTCTGTGAGATGGATTCTATTCAATACAGAATTGTTGAGGGCGATGCTTAAGACAGAAAAATAATATGGACTGTAATAAAATAGGGAGTAACCATGCACATTTGCAACCAAACTCCCCCCCTACAAAAAAAATAACCAGCAGTTACCAGCAAAAACGTGATTCAGCGATGTGATTAAATGCAGAGATTTATTTACAAAAAAAGGGTAAAAAAGAAAACACAAAACATAACTAGTATTGGCTGGTGAGACTTGGCAGGGCAACCCGCATCATTGTTCCAGCATTGCAACATTGTTCCACCCTCTTAATCCAAAAGCATTCTAGTGTGTTGGCTCCCAGCTCACGCCCTGACCGTGGACTGATCCGGCCTGCCCTGAGGTTACCTTCCCTGCTCATCAGGTGTGAGGACCTGGGCAAGTCACTGCACCTCTCTAGGCTTCATTGTTCTCTCCTGGAAAATGGGACCTGGCACCAGGACTTAAGCACAGGTTTGCGGTAAGCATGTGGTGACCTAGTGAAAGGCGCGCTTACCATCATCCCTGGTATGCTAAGCCCCTAGTACGTGTGGCTGTTTGAATCATCTGCTTCATCATCTTTTAAAGCAATGTTGCTTCTAATCCGCATTTTGGTCCTAAAGGGCCCTTGACTTTCAGGAGGATTTTTGTTGGCATGGATTTGTTTAAATGAACGTAATGCAACGGTAAGTGTGTTTACCTTTCAAAGTGTTTAATATGAAAACGAATACATATATGCTGGAGGGAGATAAATAGGAAAAGGGCACCGTAATTTCAAGCCCAGCTCCAGCAGGGCTCTTCATCGGGTTTGGTACAGTCACTTCCCTATGGCCGCAAGGTCCTTCCCTGTGAATGCCGGGCCACGGCTCACGCTCCTTCCTCTTCCTCCTTGCTCAGAAGCAGGGCTCACCTCTGCTCTCATTGAGCTTTGAAAGGAGTTGCCAATGGGGGTAATGATTGAGGCCCTGGGCATTTAAAATCTGCTGAATTATCGACATTACCATAAATCTGAGACAATAACTGTGTTGTTTGTGTTTTTCACAGTCTCAACTTTAGTAATAGTTCAATCACTTTCCTCAGTCCCAAATGTCGTGAATATTATTTCTGCTTGGGAATAGTTGTGGAAGCTTTCTTCGTCATCACAATCAAGAAATATTTTAAAACTTAATTTCGGAAAAAAAAAATCAGATATGTAAAAAAGTCGAGTGAATAGCATAATGACTCCCATCTGTCTATCACGCTGACTCAAATTTTTTTTCAAAATTTTGAACAATGACTTCAACATTTTATTATATTTGATCCATATATCCAATTAAAAATGATCAGATATTTTTAGTTATTATTTTCTCTACTAATGACTTTATTGACATATTATTGCCAAATAAAAATTGTATGTATTTAAGCTATACAACTCAATATTTTGAGATATATATATGCTCTGTAGACATTGTGAAATGATCACCATAATCAAATTAATTAATACATCTATTACTTCACATAATTAACTTTTTCTTTGGTACGGTGAGAAGACTTAAAATCTGTGTCTTAGCAGTTTTCAACTATACAATACAATATTGTTAACTACAATCATGGCGTTGTACATAGATCCCAGTAATTATTTTTAATTGGCACAAAATAATTGTACATATTTATGGGGTACAGTGTGATATTTTGATACATGGGTATAAGATTTTATGATCAAATAAGGGTAATTAGTAAATCCATAGCCTCAAACATTTATCATTTTTGTGTTGAGAGTATTCCAAATATTCTCTTCTAGCTAGTTGAATATATACAACAAGTTGCTCACTCTAGTTACACTATAGTGCTGGAGAACATTATAGCTTAATCCTCCTACCTGGCTTCAACGTTGTATCTGCTAGCCAACCTCTCACTCTCCCCCTCTTTCTCCTACCCTTTCCTGCTTCTGTCACCATCCTACTCTCTACCTCTATGAAAGCAACCTTTAAATATACTTTTTAAATAGGGTACTTTGAAGCAAATAACAGATATTATGTCATCCTAGTCCTGCATACATCAACATACATTTACAAAAATTGGACATCTTCTTATATAACCATAATATATGTATTAAATTAATAAAGTCAACAATAATTTATTTTTACCCATTCCATAATTACATTTTTTTTAAGATTTCTAGTATTATGCTATTTTAACACTGGTTTGTTTGAATCAGGATCCAAACAAATCTACTATAATAATGAAGTATATTTTAAATGAAAGAAGGATCTCAACACAAACAGGATGTTAACAGAAAATTATGGATACACATATAAATTAGAAATTTCTGTTACATCACTTTACAATGGAAACTGCAATACTCAAACTGTGTGATGAAACTTACACACACGGAAACTCAAGCTGTAATATGAAACTCAGCCAGGAGGGGGAGCAGAGCACTAAATGGCTTTCTTTTCACCACATCTAACACCTTGGCGTTCACTAAATTTGGGAAAAAGATAAAATATCTTGTTGCCGGGGCACAGCTCTGGAAAATGTAATAATATAATTCCTGTTCATCAAAATTTGAAAAGAAAATGAGAGTTCTAAAATGGGAAAAAAACATAATTGATACTAATTAGCAAGAAAACTGTTTATACTTGAGTATGCTTAATTTGTTGGTCATTACGCAAAGTCCAAAACAAACAATGCTAAAACAGAGGAAGTTGACCATATAATGTCCAATCTCCTGGCATATCATAAACCATGTTGCGCTTTAGCAATTGTCAAGTGTTTACAAGTCATAGATCATACGTACCCTTCTCTCATCACTCAAAATGCTGCCATGCACATTAAACAAAGCAAACAAAAGTCACTGTTTAGTGTAACTACACGTAACAACACTGCAGTGAGCTACAGTTGCATTCATTCATTCATTCATTCAAAAGATATTTGTAAAATGCCTAGGCATTTCACTGGGCATTGCAGGAAACCTAAAAGATAAATACGAAGAGTTTTCCTTAAGTTATACTTAAGAATTTCAAGGAGGGGGAGAAGTGCTGTTTCACATTTTGATGTTGATATGCTGAGTCATGCAGTGCTGCTGAACTTATGCCAAATTTTCACTTTTGAGAAAAGTTGAATAATTGGGAAAGTTATATTTTCTTATAAGTGGAAGTGGTTGGAATTTATGCAGTTCTTTAAAAATATATATTACCCTGAAAATATACCCTATGAAGGTTAACAAATTGCTCGATGCAAGAACTAATGCATAAAGAAATTATTGAAATAAGTATGCAAACAAAAATGAAAATGCTTATTATATGAAGAACTTTTAATGATTGGATGCATATCAATGTCCAGTGCATTTTGGGAAATATAATCTTCATTAGGGCAGTGCAAAGCTCCAAACTATTAATTAAAATAAAACTTCATGTTGTGACGTATAGATAAAAACTAAATTTCAGATACAGGCATATCTTGTTTTATTGCACATTGCCTTATTTTGCTTTGCAGATACTGCATCTTTTGCAAATCGGAGTCGTGTGTAACCCTGAATTAGCAAATGTATCAGTCCCATTTTTTCAACAGCATAAACTCACGTTGTGTCTCTCTGTCACACCTTGGTCATTTTTGTAATATTTGAAAGTTTTTCACAATTATTATATCTGTTATGATGATCTGTGATCTTTGATGTTACTGCTGTCGTTATTTTGGGGTGCCATGAACCACACCCATAGTAGGCAGCGAACATATTTGATCAATGTGTGCGTTCTCACTGCTCCACCGACAGGCCATTCACCCATCTCTTCCCCTCTCACCGGGCCTCTCTGTTCCCTGAGACACAGCAGTATTAAAATAAACAAATTAGTAACCCTACAATGGCCTCTATATGTTCTAGGGAAAGGAAGAGTCACACATCTCTCACTTTAAATCAAAAGCTAGAAATGATTAAGCTTAGTGAGGAAATCATGCTGAAAGCTAAGATAAGCCGAAAGTAGCTCTCTTGTGCAAAATACTTAGCCAAGTTATAAATACAAAGGAAAATTTTTTGAAGGAAATTAAATAATACTCCAGTAAACACAGGAATGATAAGAAAGGGAAACAGCCTTGTTGCTGATGTAGAGGAAAGTGTTAGTGCTCTGCGTAGAAGATCAAACCAACCACAACATTCCCTTAAGTCACAGCCTAATCCAGAGTGAGGTCGTAGTTCTCTTCAATTCTACGAAGGCTGAGAGAAGTGATGAAGCTGCAGAAGAAAAGTTTGAAGCTAGCAGAGATTGGTTGTGAGATTAAAAAACGAAGCCATCTCAGTAACATAAAAGTGCAAGGTTTGATGCAGCAAGTGCTGATGTAGAAGCTGCAGCAAGTTATCCAGAAAATCTATGTAAGAGAACCGATAAAGGAGAATACGCTAAACAGATGCTTTGACTTAGACCAAAGAGCTTTACATTGGACAAAAATGGCACCTGAGAGGTGCATAGCTAGAGAGAAGTCAGTGTTTGGTTTCAAAGCTTCAAAGTACAGGCCGACCCTCTTTGTTAGGGGCTAGTGCAGCTGGTAACTTTATGGTGAAGCCAGTGCCAATTAACCATTCAGAAAATCCTCCTGCTCATAAGAATTATGCTAAATCTACTCTGCATGTGCCCTATAAAATACAACAATAAAGCCAGGATGACAGTGCATCTGTCTACAGTATGGCTTACTGAATAGATTAAGCCCACTGTTGAGACCTACTGATCAGGAAAAAAAAAAAAAAAAAATCTTTTACAATGATACTTCTCATTGACAGTGCACCTGACCACCTAAAATCTCTGGTGAAGATATGCAAGGAGATTAATGCTGTTTTCATGTCAGCTAACACAATATTCATTCTGCAACCCATGGATCAAGGAGTAATTCTGACTTTCCAGTCTTATTATTTAAGAAATACATTTTGAAAGGCTATAGCTGCCAGACATACTGATTCATCTGATGAACTGGGGCAAAATAAATTGAAAACTTTCTAGACAAAATCTAAATGTCATTAAAAACATTCTTGATTCATGGGAGGAAGTCAAAACATCAATATTAACAGGAATTGGACGAAGTTGATCCAACTATCATGGCTAACTTTGAGGAGTTCAAAACATTTACTGTTTGGAAGTCACTGCAGACATGGTGGAAATAGCAAAGGAACTAGAATTAGAAGTGGAGCCTGAAGATGTGACTAAATTTTTATGAACTCATGATAAAACCTGAATGGATAAGGAGTTGCTTCTTATGATGGGCAGACAGTGTGGTTTCTTGAGATGGAGGCTACTCCTACTGTAGATGCTGTGAACATTGTTGAAATGACAATAAAGGACTTCGAACAAAACCTAAACTTAATTGATAAAGCAGTGGCAGGAAATGAGATAATTGACTCTAGTTTTTATTAAATTTCTACTGTGGGTAAAATGGTAACAAACAGAATCTCATGCTACAGAGAAATCTCTCCTGAAAGGAAGAGTCTATCGGTGCAACAAAGTTTGCTGTTGTCGTATCTTAAGAAATTGCAACAGCCTCCCCAGCCTTCAGCCACCACCACCCTCGTCGGTCAGCAGTCATCAACAATGAGGACAGACTCTCCACCAGCAAAATACTACGTCTTGTGAAGCCTCAGATGATCATTAGCATTTTTTAACTCTAAAGTATTTTTAATTAAGATAGGTACATTGTTTTTGTAGACATAATGCTGTTGGACACCTAATAGACTATACTGTAGTGTAAACACAACTTTTATATGCACTCAGAAGCCAAAAAATTTATGTGATGCTTTATTGTGATATTCGCTTAACTCCTGTTATCTGCAACTTAATCTGCCATATCTCTAAGGTATGCCTGTATTTTCATAATTCCAAAACGGATAAATTATTTTAAGATTGTGAAATCTCTTTGATCATACATTAAATATTAATTTAATGTTTGCTCCATTATTTTCAGAACTAATCAAACTATTCTGAAAGTTAATAGAAAAAAATTTAGAGAAAGTATTTTTAAATGACAATATTGCTTTTATCTTATCGGCCTGCTAGCTTCTGTACTTCTCATGAAAAAAAAAAAATAAAAAAGCATGTTCATCAAAATCCTAATGGTTGTTGAAACACAGATTTGGCAAAATAGAAAAAAAAACAATTCTGTTGAGAAATTTCTCTATGTTTCTTAGATTTTATCAAAAGTTGGACTAACTTAATTCTGTTTTTCTAAACTCATACAGTGAAACTTGGCCAATTTCCTAGATTGACTGGCATTTGAAATTCTGTAACCTTTTTTTGTTAACATTGTATTTTGAGAACATGCAACAGTACACGTTGTTTTGAAACAATTGTGTTGTAACTGAAGGGGACAGGAGTATTAAACCAAGACAGTTTTCGAAATGGCATATAATTTAAGGATTTGGGGTAGAGCATTGTTATTACGCAAGTCAAGATCTGTAATCCCTTAAACAATAATATAAATACTGTGAATGTCTGTAGTTTACATTGTTTCACTTACTAATAGCTCATTATGACGTATGTTAAACCAAGTTAGTTAGATGACCAGAAGAGACTTTGATTCTATCCTGTTATGTTCAAGGAAATCAGAGTAATTAGCACTACAACTCTACACAGAGAACATAGTGTTACTGGAATATATTGTTCCCTTCAAAATAATTACCGGTATCCATTATACAAATTGAAGGCATTCCATAATGTCCACTGTACTCTCCAAGAAAACAAAAGTTTGCTTTTGTTTAGTATTATGCCCTTGTGGCTAGAACAGTATCTGATGCCTAGCAGGTGCTATAGAAACATTTCTTGAAATGAATAAATTATAGCATAAATACATAAGATGCTACAGTTGAGATGGAGAGAATTCAAGCATGTTGAAATATCATTTGTTGGCAAAACTGCCAGGATTGTTGATAGATATTTGGAGGACAGAGATACGTGAAAAAGAACAAAAGAATATTCCTAATATATGATTTTTTTTGACTAGGTAGATAGGAACATTTACGGAAACGGAAATATATTTCAATAGGGTTTAATATGTTTGGTTAAATAAAGAAGAGTGGTATTCAGGTGAAAATAATAATTATGAAATAAAATACGTCATTTGGGGGCCCCAAGACAAGGTTTTCATTGACATTTTGAACTCTCAAGAGTTTGATGCTGTAGTTTAATGCGTCAAACAATAATTTGATGGAGCTGCTCAGAGTGAGTGCGTAAAAAGAGAAAGAGAGACAACTTTCCCTTCATGAGAGCTCTCAGTTCAACTACGTTTATGAGCAGGTCAATGCAGTCAATCTCATAAAAGGACACCTCAGAGAATAACCAGGAAAAAGAAATTCCAGACTAACTCCAACATTCTGCCTCTGTAACAGTTTGCCACAGGAGCCCAAAATCTAGGAGATAGTGACAAGTTAGATAAGGGTATTCATCACAAAGCCTTCCAACTGAATCAAAATAAATTTAAATGCATCATCAACAAAGCAGGAGAACAGTTTTTAATTACTCAAGAAGCTTTGAGGTTAACTGAAGGCACTAAGGTAGAAACAGAACAGCTTCCAGACATTTCTAGCAGTCTACCATAGTAAAGCTTTGTTCCTAAGGAGGCCTTTGCATCCAAAATACTCTCTGCAAAAAAAGAAGTTTTATGATATTGCCTGTCCTATGTTCTATAGAATCAAATGCCTGGGAGGCATGACTTCTATTAAACGCTGGGAAAATATAAATCAAAATCACAACAGGAGCCAGATAAACTTAAGCCTCAGTTTACACATTTATAAATTAGGGCTCATTTCTCTGACCTTGCACAATTCTTTGGGATTTAGAATGTGTAAAATACCTTCCATAGTACGAAGCACTTAAAAGGATCTCAGAAAATGTGATTCTAATCATGAATATCTCCATTCAGGTTTTTAGTGTGCATGTCACATCATAATTGTCCTCAAGAATAAAACATGATTATTCTCTAAAGAGGACATGATAACTTACATTGTTCTTGAAACTCCAGGTAGTTTTCCCATTGATTATGCCTAAATGAAAGTCAAAGATAACCTTGAAGCCTCCCCTCTAATGTGAAAATTTTGGAAACTAGATTTCTGCAATTTTTCTAGAAAAGTATTTTTTTCAATTTTTTAAAAGTTTCAGTGGCATCTGGTATTGGATCTGCACATTTGATTCTGCTCTTCTGAGTATATATAAAAAAAAAGAAAACATAAATGACCCTGCTTAGAATACGCTAGTACCTGTGAGATCGCTGTAAAGCTAAGGAGTCTAGAGATGGAATTTAGAGTGCGGATATTCTTCATTTAGGCAACAAGAAGAGACCCTTGAACTTTCTCCATTAGGATTATTTCACTGAAGTCATCTGTGGATATTCATAAGATTCATGAACTCGAATGGGGAAAATAATTACACATTTATGTTCAATCAGCTTTAACTAACAGGTGGCTTTCCTTTCAATTATATAGACAACAAACCACAGAAGAATGGGCAGTATCTTTGTGTCTTACCAAGGACAATTACAGATATTTTCACATTATGTTACAAGCATTTTGAAACAATGTTTACACTCACCACTACTCTGAAATTAAGGTGTCATCTCCAGGCTATGTATTTTGATGAAAACACCACAGCCTCCGCATTTACTGGTAAATCTATAACAAATTTTACTTTGAGAGTAAAAGAAAAAAATGCCTACTTGACGGACATGCTCTATCTACAGGGGAAGCTTCTGTTCCTGATTGTGAACTATTGTAGCTCTCAGGTAGTGTCACACACACAGGAAATACTTCTTGGACTGCATGCTCTGCCAGCACTGACCACCAAGTACTTCCAGGTCAAGCTAGTCCCCTGCCCTCGCATCGCCAAAACTCCTCCCTTCAGGGTAGGTGTCTCAGCTTGAAATCACCATTACTGTGACTCGTTGTCCCTCACTCCTACTGAATTACCAAAGCCCTACAGGATGGATATAATGTTGAATTTTCATTTATATTGCATCTCAAAATATAGTGCAGTACCAGAATTAGAAACAAAAATGCAATTTAAAATGATAAATACATTTGGTAAATTAGGTAATAATTCATTACCCTCCTGCTTCTACCCCCCAGAAAAAATAAAGAAAAAACACAGGAAACATAGATGTGTGTGTGTGTGTGTGTGTGTGTGTGTGTGTGTATGTATGTATATATATATGTGTATATATATATAATATTATAAGATATAATATACTTACAAATTATATTTATAATATATATTATAGATAATCCTATATGTTATAATATCATATATTATATATCATACTGTGATAAGAATTCTTTCTTTAATATGTGAAAAACTACCTACTCTGACATTTTATATGTATGATATATAATATATATTTTAGTATATTACATATTATATATATTTACATATAATATATCATATATATATAAAATGTCAGGGTAAGTAGTTTCTCTCATATTGAAAAATAAATAATGAGGAATCCTTATCACAGCATCAAAACACAGAGCAACCAAATCAGTGTTTTTCACCGACTTGTAACCAAGAACACCTTTGTGATTAATATGAAAATCAAATGCTGTCTTCTTCAGTTGATAGTCTTTGATCTGCAGAAATTACAGTTTCTCCTTCAAGTATCTCTATTAGCCAAGAAAATTTTAAGATGGTCATTTTGTATATAATCAGTTTCATTTTCAATTTTTCAAATAGGTCTTATAAAATTGACTAAAAAATTGTATTCTACCCCTTCTCCTTACGAATTCCAAAGTGGCCAAGCGGTACTGCTCTGAATAGCACCATGAAAACACAGAAAGATGACATGTTTGTAAGGATGAACATTTGAGAAATCTCACCAGCATTCAAAAGGCAGGTAATAATCAACAACAAGCCAAGAAAGACATTTGCCTCCACCATACTGTAAATAGAGGTGGTACAGGGAAATGGTCGCAATAGTAGATGTACTTGTTATATTATTGGGTTATTATGTAAGGATGTGGCTTGGCATGATTTAGTATAAGAAGAGAACAGATAGACTATCAGCTTAACAAGAGATGGTAAAGCACTGTTGTTCTCCAAATAAGAGTTATTACATATATATATATGTGTGTGTGTGTGTATTATATACAATATTATATTATGTATTATATAATATATATAATTGCAAGATAATTAACTTTATGTATGAAAAACATTTTTAATATATGGACTTTCAAAATCTTAAAGTAAATTGCCAACATACATTTTTTAGATATTTCTGTTTTGATATCCTGAAAAGGAAGAAATACAACTCCTTCTGGCCTCAACAGAATTCTAACTAAAAGTTGAGATGGAGCGTGTCTTTTCAAAGTCCATCAATGACTGTAAAATTTAAAAGGAACTGTTTTTACTTGAAATAAACTGAAAATTTATAAAGTTTTATCGCCAACCTTTCAGGTTTGCTATAAAAGTTGAAAAAAATGCAAAGGAAATGGAACTTACACCTACTATTAACAATAGTAAAAATAGATACTCATATTTAACTAGAGCATTATGGGCTAGAAAGGAAATCGCTCCTCAAGAGGTTTTAAACATACACTTAGATTTTAAATTTCTGTGATTTCATCAGCATTTGGAATGTTATGAGGAGAAATTGATTTGTAAATAGTGGCAATGGAAGCTTTCCGGAGTTGAATACAGCCTACATTTCTCTTGTTTTAAAAAATGCGTCTTTGTCTTTCATTTTTCTTACAAGATTTCCTTTCAATAAAATATTTCACTCTGCTCTTATTCACCAATCACCTTGCTCTTTTTTCAGGTCTCACATTAATTTTCATGATGAAGTTAACTTAATGCCTTCAACATTTTAACTAACTAGTCCTACTTATTTAGTTTTAGAAAGTGCAGTATTTATAGTAGCATTCATTATGCTAATACTATTTTAAGTTTCATTTTGGGACTTAAACAGAATATTTGGAAAGAGTCTATTTTTTTAAAATCTAAAGCATTGGTTCTCTGTCATATGCACACTACAAAAATTATGAAATTAATTCAAATTAAAATCGATGTTCAAATAAAAATTATATCAATTTACAAAAATATGATACCCCTTTCAATTCTTTATGATTTAATCTCAAAACAAGTCTGATGTGATTCTTGAATTTTAAGATAATTTATTTAAGGGTGTCAGTAAATACTACAAACACCTCAACTTATTAGTTTTTTGTTTTTTACTTTTTAAATGATTTTATGTGCAAATAATGAACAGGTGTTTTACCCATAAATTCTACTTTCTAAAAACAGATGCTTTCTAAAAGAAAAACCACATAATAACTTTTAAAAGGCACTGGGATTCCTCTGCTTCTAGATCATTGCTAGGCTGGAAAAATAAAGTTGGTTCCACCAGAAATCACAAGTTAGAACTGAATATTCTCCAAAGTGGAAATTCTAGAGTGTAATGTCACTCCAGGCAAAGATTATTCAGTTCTCACCCCAACATCCACAACTCCCTATCAGAAGGGTTAAACCAGGTCAAAACAGTCCAGCATAATGAGGCTTCATCAAACAATGTCATTATGCTCTTCTAAGCTGCAAATAAACCAAAACAGGAAATACTAAAATCAAAATAATATTTGACGCTGTCATACAAATTGTTAATTCCTTGTTGTATCCTCCCTTCTACAACATTAATAAAGGGAATATTTTACTGCAAAGAAGATTTTATTTTATACATCACTAGCCATGAATTTTTGCCATTAGTTATTATACAAATGATGCCAGTGCCGTTATCCAAATGACATAACAATTTTACATCCACAATTCATTTCTATAGTGATAAGTAGAATTTTTATGATTTACTTAAATCATAAGTATCAGATGTACTGATAGATAAGTACATCTATCAGTGAAGATTTAACACTGAAATGCAATCTAACACCCGTAATATCTGATGTTTTGTACATGGCAATGTAGGAGACATATATTGTAATCACTTTTCATTTAAGTGACCTTATGTAAAAAATAAAGTTTTTTAACTTTAGAAGATAATCATCTGACTAAACACAATTTGATTATTTTTAAATAAACAAAACTTCGTCTAATTCAAAATATGGAATATGGAATCTATTCCCATAGTAGACATGTAGCAATTTCATTTTGGATGATCTTATCTCATTTCATTTACAAAAAAATGTATCCTTCACATTCCTAGAATAGTCTTTGTTAGTGCAAGTGGTTTAGTGAAAGTTTAGTAAACTGGTAAATTTAATAATTTACCAGTTCCAAGTCTCCAAAGGGCATTTTCAGAGATTTGTAAGAAACATCTTCTATCTCCACATCCTTTTGTAACTGCTGTACCATTTTCTCTTCCACCTGTTACCATTTGCCTGCAAGAGGGGTTTGGAGAAGATGGATGTTTTGCTTGACTTCTTTGATATCCTAAACTTTCTGTAGCTCTTTATTTTTCTTCCATCTGTTCATTATAAATTTAGCTTGGCTTTTCTGTTTGATCTCTTCAACTCTCTTCATTGCATCCATAGATTTATTCCATAGCTCTCGCTGGTATTTGATAGGTTTTTCAGATTCTACGTCTTGCAAATTCAAATGAATTATCCACTGTAAGATCTTTACCAGCTGCTTTCCGAAATGCTTTGGTCCACCAACTTTGCGAGGATTGCACTTCTTTTTAAAGTTTCTTATAACACTAAGCTTGACAAAATCTGAACAGCTTGCAATCACTGCAGACGAACATCATGCCATGGCCAGGGTAGATGGGCCCCGAACGGAAATAATACTTCTCGATAAGCATGTTGAACACGCCTGGGTCCCCACCAACCAAATGCCAAGCTTGAGAGGAAGTCAACTTATTACTTTTAAAGAGGGTTCTAAAACACACAGTTTATATTATTTGACACCCATGAAATGGGAATTGAACAAATTTCTTTGAAATAAATAGCTATGCTTCAACATTTTCAGGTGTCTTGGGTTTATTCAGTTCTCTTTATCTGGTTGGAACGCCAGTTTGCTCAGGGCAGGACTCTGTGGAACTCATTCACCCATGGGCCTTAAGCATCTGGGACAGTGCTTGGAACAAACAGGATCCCTGCTTGCTCTTTGGCTGCCTGATATTCTGAATGGACTGAAGTAAAACAAAGTGAGAGAGAAGAAAAAATACATTCCACTTTGTAGCTGCTTATTATAAGGTAGGCTCTCTATATTTAATATTTAGGAATATGTTTACTAAATTTTCACTAAGCCACTTGCACTAACAAAGACTATTCTAGGAATGTGAAAGATACTATTTTTTTGTAAATGAAATGAGATAAGATCATCCAAAATGAAACTGCTACATGTCTACTATGGGAATAGATTCCACATTTTGAATTAGATGAAGTTTTGTTTATTTAAAAATAATCAAATCGCGTTTAGTCAGATGATTATCTTCTAAAACCTGTGTTCCTCATAATTTGCCAAAATCGATGAATAATTTAATATATCTGTATTCTAATGGTTTGAGATCTGCCACGGATTTGAATATATTCCCCTTGTAGAGAGCAAGTTTTATCACACTGAAAAGGATGACTTAGTTTTTGGTTATCTTTTAACATTTCTGCCCTTCTGTAACAGCAAGCGTAGCGTTAAAGGCTTTCTTCTATATTAATGAATAATACAAAATCAATGCAGCTTGTATTATTAAATGTGCATTTTGTGAACATTTTGTTAAAGTAGACTTATTCCATTTTCTGCTGATGGGAATTTTTGGCCCTCGGTGCTAAAACCTTCAGCTCCGCTCTTTAACTCCACAGCAATAACAACCTCACCTCCCTCATGAGATTATTTCCTAACACCTTTATTATTCTTCCTGAAGTCTGCTTTGCTATTAACATAAAACCACTGAGCAAGTGGTTGAGTGTCACTTCTGTCGCTTAGTAAACGTATGACGCTTGGAAACTTAACTAACTTCTTGGGACTTAATTTCTTCCTCTGTAGAAGAGATGAAAATAATAGAGCCCAACTCCAAACACTGATCCAAAGATTAGAGGAGTTCATATATGCAGTGCCCTTGGAAAAGGCCCCGGCATACGGGGATTGCTCCGTGTGTATTTGTGGTTGATGGTACTTTCATTTAGTCTCCTCTGGAATAAGTATTAGTCTAAAAAACTCTAAATAAAGTCTTTGTCTTCTCTGGAATAAGTATTAGTCTCCTCTGAAAATGGAAAATCAGTTATTGTTATGTCTCTCATATGAAAGAGAGCAAACAGACAGTGCCTACTAAAGGCATATTGATCTTGTGATTGGTTATTATGCATTCTCCTTCAACAGAACATGTGGAAAGATGGGAATACTTTGGAATACTCTGCTTAAGAGGAATTGGTATGCATTGTTAACTGTCAAACAACAGAGGAAGAAATTGAGTCCAAAGAAGTTCGTCGAGTTTCCCAGGATCATACATTTACTAAGTGAGAGAACTGAGATTCAACCATCAGCTCAGTGGTTTTATGTTAATAGCAATGCAGATTTCAAGAAGAATAAAGGTGTTCAATCGACAATACATTGTCAAACATGTTTCCATGTAAAATCAACTGGGGTTTTACACTAGAGACAGAGGCCTTAGGTCTCATTTAGGTTGTTTCATTAGGACCTTCCATAGCATTTACTTAAACTACCCAATAAAAAACATTTACACAACTACAATAGAGTTGTATGTTTTTATTAAAATATGTATCATAAATTGATTAACATCTGTCATATAGATTTATACAACACATTAAGTTTTATATTGCAAATATAAGAGGTTTTACTTTTGTCCCGGAAAAGTGGATGTAGCTATCCAGAGTACTCATTATATCTTTCTAGACAAATATTCTCTTAAAATAATGAGTATTTTATTACTGTTTTAGAGCAAGAGAGAGCGAGAGAGAGAGACAGAGCAATGTCAAATTTGAACATAGGACACTTTGGTGACTTTAGTAATCCAGTAATTTCTGAAAAAGATACATTATAGAGTTACTGAATTCCCAATATGGATCCAAAGGAAATAATATCAAAGCGAGATTTCATCGCAATGTGCACGATTATAGAATCTTTTTACCATGTGTGCAATACACTCATCTCACATTATGCATTCTGTGAGATTTCATCCCATAGTAAACTTGTTGCCCCCACAATTTATAAAGACTATGTCCTCTTAAAATTACATATATTGTCCAAATACTTAGAGATGTGAAGTATGTAATACTTTTTATTATGAATGTTTAAAAGCTGATTTAACAGAAGCCCAACATTTAGAATCTTTTCAGTATTAAAAATAATATATCTGATTTGTGCACTATCCAGTAACAGACAAACCCTGTTACTTTATGCATTTGAAACAGTTTTGGAAAATAGAGTTACATATTATATGACTTTCCAAATTTCCATTAGACAGAGGTAAAACTATATATCGTTCTATTGATACATTTCATTCTTAGAATCTAGACGGTTGCTAAGGCATGTCATCTTTTTTTTTTTTTTTTTTTTTTTTTTTTTTTAATGAGGCTGGGCACAGTGGCTCAAGCCTGTAATCCCAGAACTTTGGGATGCTGAGAGGGGCAGATCACCTGAGGTCAGGGAGTTTGAGACCAGCCTGGCCAACATGGTGAAACCCCATCTCTACTAAACATAGGAAAATTAGCCAGGCATGGTGGCACACACCTGTAATCCCAACTATTTGGGAGGCTGAGGCAGGAGAATCACTTGAACCCAGGAAGCGGAGGTTGCAGTAAACTGAGAATGAGCCACTGCATTCCAGCCTGGCAATAGAGCAAGATTCTGTCTCCAGCAAAAAAATTAAAACAATAAAATGAAAGGATTATCTGGTGGATAGGATATGGGAGAAAGAGAACGACAGAGAAGCCAGGGATGACTTCAAACTTTTGGGTCTGAGAAAATGAAGAAGGGCGCTGCCATGAACTGAGGTTGAAAAGGCTGAGTGCGGAACAAGTTCAGAGGTCACATGAATGGCCCTTTGCAGGGCATCTTAAATGGAGATGCTTATTAGATATATAAGCAGGAATGTCAAGTAGGCAGTTGGATACATGATTCTGGAGTTCATCAGAGATGTTTGGACTGGAAGAATAGAACCAGGAGTTATGTAAAGTCAAGAGCCTTGATGGAATCAGCGAGGGGCAAGGATAAAAAGGAAAAAGAAGAATACTTGGGTTAACAGGGAAACAAGCAGTCAAATTGATAAAGAGTAACTGGAGGTACCTTAGGGAGGAAGTTTGGGGATGTGGATGACGTTAGATGCAGCATTCAGAGAAGGGTGTCTGTGAAGCTGCCAGCCATGCGGACAGTGATCCAGGCAAAACCCAGTGAAGACAGAAAAAAAAAAAAAGCAAAGCAGCTGGAAAAGAGCTTTGTCCAAAACACTACATAATGCTCTCTTCTTCTTGATCTCATTAACAGCCTGATTTTTCCTCCTGTGTATTTTACCTTAGGAATGCCCTTGTTCACTCTTTTACAATAAATGATTCCTCTTGTGACCTTTCTGTCTTTCAGAAACTTCCACCTTGTCCATGTATGAGATGCATATACAGAGATCATGGAAACATCACACAGCAAAGTCTTTCTCCAGCAACTTGCTTTCAGATACAAAGCGACACTCCAATGTCAGAAATCATTTTAGAAATTGCTTTTCCCTTTACAAAGCTCTGAACTTTGACTAATTCCTCAAAGACACTTGTGTTTATATGGCTGTTTATTTACTTATTGTCCCTGGGTTGTTCAATAGGTCTCTTGACATCATTCCTCCTATCATTTTGTATCCTTTGACCAATGTGCCCCCAATACTTCCCAGCTCAACCAAGTCCAGCCTCCAGTAACCTCCCATCTACTCCTTCTTTCTATGTATCAACTCTTTTAGGTCCCACGTACAAGTGAGATCATGCGGTATCTGTGTTTCTGTACCTGGCTTATTTCATTTAGCATAATTAGGATTTTATTCTTTTTTTCAGCTGAATGATATGCAAATGTATGTATGTATACACCCCCCCCACCCCCCCCACACACAGTTTCTTTACTCATTCATCTGATAGATATTTAGGTTAATTTCATACCTTAACTATGGTGAACGGTGCTGCAGTGAACATGAGGTGCAGACTACCTTTCACATAATGATTGTGTTTCCTTTGGATGTATTACCCAGCAGTGGGATTGCTGGATCATATGGTAGTTCTGTTTTTAAAGTTTTTCAGGAACCTCCATACAGTTTTCCATAGTGGCTATACTAATTTATATTACAACTAAGAGTGTACAAGAAATTCCCTTTCCTCCACATCTTCTCCAACACTTACCTGTTGCCTTTTTGATAATAGTTATTCTGACAGATATGAGATGATACCTCATTATGGTTTAAGTTGCATTTCCCTAATGATTAATGAAGTTAAACATTTTTTCATCTAGCTTTTGGCCATTTGTATGTCTTATTTTGAGAAGTGTCTATTCAGATCTTCTGTTTCATTTTAAATTAAGTTACTTGTTTTCTTAATATTGAGTCGTTCAGGTTCTGTACATGTTTTAGTTATTACCTCCTGGTCAGACATGTGATTTACAAATATGTTCTCTCTTTCTGTAGGTTGTCTCTTCACTCTGTTGATCATTTCCTTGGCTGTGCAGAAGCTTTTAAGTTTGATGTAATCTGATTTGTCTATTTTTGCTTTTGTTGCCTCTGCTTTTGCGTTCATATTCAAATAAATTATTGCCCAGATCAACATCATGTATAGGGATACTTACTATTTCAATGTAAACTTACCAAAATCACAAAAAATGTATTGTTAGAAAGTAACTATGCCACATAATGTTTCCACACAAGACTGTGCAACTTGTATAAACTGTATTACATGATGAAAATCTCACAATAGTGCTCAAAACCTCAGGTGTCTATCTCAAAAGAAGACACAGTCATTAGATTGCCTTATAATTTGGATTTTCCTTGATTAAAATTTCACATTCACATTTGTATTTCCTTACCTCTGTAGAAATAGCATTAAAAGTAATTCCCCAGGCATCTGTGATTGCTCTAGGAATTTTTATATAAAACCTATATATATATACACACACACACACACACACATATACATATATATGTGTGTGTCTAAAAATAGTGTATATGTGACATAGAATTATATTTTGGATATATTAAATTGTCATATCTTTATTCTTCATTTTGTAGTCTAGGCAACTAAATAACCACCAAAGTGACAAAATAAGGGTACCTTTTCATAACTTAGAAACCAAGGAAGAATGACACAATATGCTAATAAAATTTTCTCCCAATTTCAACTGGAACAATTAAATGATAAATTCCTATGTAGAGAAATGCAATCATCTATAATTTCTTCATTTCAGGTCAGTTAATATGACCATTTAAGCCTGTATTTCCTATTGCACTTCTCTTTTAGGTTGACAAAGAAAACAAATCAGAAATTCAACTAGCAGTTTTCCAAAATAAAACAGTAAGGCTTATTACCCTGACCTTAGCAGTTGGTACCCAATTTAGTATCTTTATACTACGATGGTTTTCTTGTAAATGTTATCCTTGGCCACATCTAAAATAACAAGTTTTTACTTAACATTTATTTTTTTCTAAAGAAATTCAGTCTCTAGAAGGAAATAAACCTGGCAGAAATAGAATTCCTACTTTTCTCCCTTATGCTAGGCTCTAGAAATACTGAGGAAATCATCCGCTTTCAGGACTGTTCTTGAAAGTGATAACTTGCATGCACTTGAGCCGCATCTCCCCTTCCCAGCACACCTGAACCCCAGGTCCCACTGTTGATCTCCCTCTTCAAAGCAGCTCTGTTATCTTCCTGAAACTGGAGAGGGAGAGGCTTACTCCTACTTTCAAACCAAAAACAGATTTAGACCCGAAAGGATTTAAAAATAACCTAAAAATAAAGTCCCAAAGCTGGCTTTTCTATGTTCAATCACACAACACTCGAAACAATTGTGTGTTGCTTTGAGTCCCAAATGCTTTAATTTTTTTAAAGAATATGCAGTTCACTTTCTTATTCCAGCAAACATCGCATTTATACTATCAATATGTCCAGGGTTTACTAAAACTTCATAAATGACTCTCTGATATTTGAAAGGGCAAGATTAGAGTGGCTTCGTATTTCAAACACATACGTCAAAGAGTTGCGTAACACATATGCACATATTAAAGTTATTACAGATGTGAAAATCTGCTTTTTTTTCCTGCCAAAGAAACATGTACTTCCTTCATGAAGAATTTCCTAAACAAATTTTGCCAGTTTAATTGCCTATAGAAATTTATTTTTAAAACATTTTATTTAAACCATGTAAGTCCCAAGGTAGTCTGTGAACGTGAACTTTAAAGCTAACATTTTTGTCACTAGTTCCTTTTTGCTATGTCAGAAAAGAAAACAATTCACAGCCATTTTATTTTTCCAGTTTTTCTCAAGGTTAGAGACTGTCTCAACCTCATAGGCTCAGAAGAATGCCTTTATTTTCCCATGAAAAGATAATCCTGAAGTAATATTTGCAGCAAGAGGCCATTAGGCAAGTGTTGACCCTTTATGGCTAGTCCAATTTCCTCTCTATGTGAGATATTAGTAATTAAATTCAGATTTCTGTGTATTTATTTTCTTTCCTCAACTCTGTTCATGGATGCCATTTTTAGGTATCTCTTGCCACTTGAGCAATCAATAAGCAAAAGAGAGATTTGTAAGAGGCCTTAAAAGGAGAGAAAGAGGATTTTTCTCTTAGGCCCAGTTATAGAATCAGTTGTTATTTTTTGGTCTGCAATAAATTTTTCCCATATCTGTATGGGCATTCCACCCGCGAGTTTCAGTTCTCTTATTGCTTTTCTAAATGTCTTGAGAGGTCACTAGAAAATTATTACAGTTCATTATTATCCAGAAACTCCAACTTCTGACATAAAGTAGCAATTATTTTTAACTTAATCACAGACTAACATAGTTTTGGATGTTGGAAGAAATAATGCTAAAATTGTATAGCTCAAAAAAAAGAAAGAGAGAGAGAGAGAGAGAAAGACAGCCTGAATATGTCTTGAGTTTGAGAATTTTTCAATCTTGCTTTATTCTCAGGGATAATTTTCAAACCTGAAATTAAATAGATCAGTTGAGACATGGAATAAGCTTCTATGGAGGCTCATTATAAAACTCATGTAGAGTCTAATCATTCTTCCTAACACTCATTTTTCCACCCACTAAATCATTAGCTTCATTAACAGTGATTAAAACTAAACCTCAATCTGGCAGAGTTGGATGGATTCTCACGTCCTTCTAATGACTATAGTCTAAAGCACCCCACTGGGAAAGTGAGTGCTTCCTGGAGCCCGTGGACACAGAGGGAAGAGACAGCATAAGATGACTCACAGTGCATGTTGATGTGAAATGGAGAAAAGGTTTCAATTCTAGTACGGCAGGCGGGTGCGGTTTCCAAATTTGTTTGTTTAAAAAATGCAACGCCTAGCCTACGTTTATTTACAGAGCCTAAATTCAGGTGTAAAAATATCAGCTGATATAGTCTGGTACATTAGAACACACCATATAGTAGATAAAAATGTCAATAATTGCTCATGTCTTTGACTGGAATAATATCTTGTATGTAGCTGCAAAATTAATTACCACTTTATTCGATAAATCATTGGCAAATCTTGATTATAGTGACAATAGTGGCTTCTAAAACTTTTAAATAAATTATGGGGAAATATCCTCCTGTCCTGTAATGTAATATCACCTATAGTTTAAGGAAGGTAGATACAGAGAGATTACTTTCAGAAACTACATTACTAATAACAGAACATGGGAATTATTTTCTCACGAAAATAACTGCAAATCAACTTTCAACCTTTAAAGTTTTATAAACATCATAAAAGACATGATGGAAAAATTTGCTTCCTTAGTAAGTATTTCTTTAAATAGATAAATGAGCTGCTCCGAATGACCTCTTTATTTGAGAAAAGTGATTTAATGTGGCTGTTATCCAATAGTCATCAGTGAATTTACAACTAGGGATGATAACTGGGATTAAGAGAAGTCTTAAAAATAAACACCTCCAAGGCGCAGAAAAAAAAAGAAAAACAAGAAGAAACAGGAATAAGGTAACTAAAAGAAATTTAAGAAAATTTTTATAATTGCATATGTGTTTATCTTCAAATATCTCAGTAGTTATAAAGGATTCAAAATAACATGACTATTAGGAAAAAACATGCGGCATGATATTTAAGATAGAAGTTTTTTTTTCTTCTTGTCCTTCGTATCTTGCCCCTAAAAACTAATTTCTAGAAGTAATATGTCAGTAAGAGTGAGCAACTTCCCTGAGCTGTTATCATACAATGTCCCTCATCATAGTCCTGGTCTGCTGAATGATCAGGTTGGGAAAACAGATGGGAAAGAAAATCCTAGCATGTGTGTTCGCTTTTAAATGAAATGCTGATTTGGAAATATTACTGCTTGACCCAACTGATGCCATAGCTGTAGGGATTAAACAGAAGTTTGTCAAAGGAGGTAGAACTTATGACTGTCTGCTCATTTGCCAATTCCATTATACTAATTTAAAGAAGAGAAAAAATCTGTGTCTCCCTGGGATTTGTGTTCAAACAAACTGCAAATAAAATAGTTGCTTTCGTTCACCATAGTTAGAACACTTGCTTAGCTTTTAAATTGTAGTCCTGTAGACCAAAAAAAAAAAAAAAAAAAAACAAACAAAAAAGGTAAAGTGAAAAGAGATAGACAAGAAACAGGAGTAGAGAAGAGAGAGAAAAAATAAGAGAAGTTACTGGTGATTAACCTTGATCTTTAATCAAACTAGAGAAAGGATAGCTTAAGAGAAGAAGGGGGCATGCACAGCTTCCAAGACTGCGGGGAGGGCAGTTAGGGGGCCATTTTTAAGCAATAGCTCTTGCAATCATCTGGTAGTCAAAAGGTGGTAACAGTTGTAGAGCAGATGATTTGTGGAGGAAGGAAGTGGGACGAGGGGTGGATGGTGAATTTCAAATGGTGCGAGACACATAGGGGCTGGGGTGAGGCGTGACAGAAAGGAGAGAACTTCCAATAAAGAAAGGAGAGGGGAGAACCATGAGGTCCATGCATGGAAAATGAACCAGTGAGGAGACAGAGACAGAGCTTAATGATGTTAGGAAATACTTAGAGAAAATAACTATTCCAAAATGGCGGGATCCTTATTCTAGGCATAAGTAGATGTTGAGAAGTCATGTCCTTTGAAGGGAAAGATTAGATTTAAGGGATAAATATTTGCTGCCTAGAAGAAAAACACCTAAGTCCAAATCCATAGTGTTTTTCTGATAGAATAAGTGTTTCTTAGAAGACTTTATTCTTTCTCTCGGCAGTGGGGAGGGAATTTTGGTTTAAGTTAGAGAGATGATGACCCATGAAGCCTATTCTAGGAATTATAAAGTCCTGGATTTTGGAGATGTTATTTGATTTAAAAAGCAGGATGGACTTATTTCATGTGAAAGAAAGAAAAAATGATAACCACTGTGTGGTCAGAAAAGCAGTTCATAGCTAAGAACACTCTCTTAAAATGAAATAATTTTTTAAAATCTAGGAAACCAACATTAGTTTAAAGATAAAATTTAAAATACATGAGGAGTGACTGAGGAAGATGAAGGTATAATGGTAAGCTGCCAGGGGAAATACATATACTTTAACAATTTTATAGTAACTCTCAAGAAACTTACGACAGCTCACGTTGGTTGCCTGTAGGTCACGGAATCGGTAATGAAGACGATCTTTTCATCATAAACTCTATGATTGTGTGGAGTGTTTTGGTTTAATAAAATGGCCATGGGAAACAACCCTGAAAGGATGGAATAAATCTCCCAATTTTAAAGAGCAAAATATCTATGACCACCTACAGAATCAAGTCACGAAGGACGTAGAATGGATGAAAGTGAATAGGGGTTAAAAATCAAAACCTTGAGAAAAGCTCCTAAAGAGAATGTAAAGTAAGTCATAATAAGGACAGAATGACAGGTGCGAATGTGGGCTATGCCTCCCCATCCAGTGCTCACCTTGCAAGAAATGAGCAATGCATGGGAGGGTAAAGAGGGGAGCCTCTGCGAGGACCGTTTCAGGATTAAGAGAGAAAGAGTGTGAAAACAGGCACTAACGGTGAAGACCAAGCGAAAAATAAAGAAGCATTGTTTCCTGCCAGATGTCACTGCTAAAGGAGAGTGAATAGCATGATAAATAGCTGAGAAAGGGAAGATCTCTGAACATTAACAGTGAGGCTTTGAGGACAGTTCTGCTCCTGACACAATTCAAAGAGCCGAGATTTTTCAGACAGAAAGATGCAGGCTCACATTCTAAATCTGTGCTTCTTAGTGGCTGAAAATTTAGCAATGCCCCTCACTTTTCTCAATTTTAATTTTGTTACTGGTAAAATGGAGATCCTTGTGGCTACGCAAAAAGATTCCTGCTAAATACCCGCCTTCCAGGAGTTTGCAAAGATTCATTTCATGAACATACGTGTAATAATCATGCACTGTGTTTCAGTCACTGTCTTATGTGCTGAGGTTATAAAAATGAATATGACCAATGTGTGCTTTTGTAGAATTTAATATCTGGAACTGGAGACAAGCAGACAGTGTTTAAGATGGAAGTACACTTTGGGAGGCCGAGGCGGGTGGATCACGAGGTCAGGAGATCGAGACCATCCCGGCTAAAACGGTGAAACCCCGTCTCTACTAAAAATACAAAAAATTAGCCGGGCGTAGTGGCGGGCGCCTGTAGTCCCAGCTACTTGGGAGGCTGAGGCAGGAGAATGGCGTGAACCCGGGAGGCGGAGCTTGCAGTGAGCCGAGATCGCGCCACTGCACTCCAGCCTGGGCGACAGAGCGAGACTCCGTCTCAAAAAAAAAAAAAAAAAAAAAAAAAAAAAAAAAAAAAAAAGATGGAAGTAGTGGTAAATGCTGTTAAGCAAAGAACAAAAGGAAAAGGAAAGATGATGAATGATGCTGTCTCATCTAGATCTGTTGGAACTGGTTTTAAGTAAAATGTGGTTGAAAAAAATCTGTGTTTGTATGTATGTATATTTTTAGATACAAAGCAGATGAGGAAGTTTCAGGCACAACACACAGCATTGTACCAGAGCGGGCTAGTAAACGGTAGCCTTAACTAAAGAAAAGCTTCAGAACAAACTAAAGAAAATATAAGTCTGTTGTTGTTGTTGATGTTTTTTGAGGCGGAATCTCACTCTGTCGCCAGGCTGGAGTGCAATGGCTTCATCTTGGCTCAGTGCTACCTCTGCCTTTCAGGTTCAAGCGATTCTCCTGCCTCAGCCTCCCGAGTAGCTGGGATTACAGGCACCCACCACCACACCCAGCTAATTTTTGTATTTTTAATAGAGACAGGGTTTCACCATGTTGGCCAGGATGGTCTTGATCTCTTGATCCTCCCGCCTAGGCCTCCCAAAGTGCTGGAATTACAAGTATGAGCCACTCCACCCAGCCAGAAAATGTAAGTATTTTTTTAAAAAAGAAAAATAATTTCATCAGATAAGTCATTTTTATTATTTTAAAGGTCATTCCAGATCAGTGGTGGGAGAAATACAAGGATGCGCTCATAGATCATGACATGGTTTTGGGACCAAGTGTGACAGGAAATTGATTAGTCATGGTTGTGGGGGCTGGGTGGGCAGGGCTGAGACCAACATACTAGAGGGAACTTCCTATTGACTTGTGCAGCTCTGGACATTCTCACGAAGATAAGCACATTAAATTTAAGTCAGGTGAGGGAAAAGATGAGACTGCTGTCTTATTTCAAACCACATGGGTTAAATCACATGAAATGAATGATTACAGGCTACAAGAAAATGGAATGAAAATGTAAAATATTAGAGTAGAACTTGAGGGTTGGGTTTTTGAGTCAGGCCTAAGCTTGAGCTGATTCCGCCATCCTAAGAGACCTTAGGAAACCTCCCTAAGACGATTTTTCCACCAGTGAAATATGAATAGAATGGCTACTCAAAGGAGTTCTGATGACAATATGGACTTCCCAAAACTTTCTATGGCAGTTTGGGTAAGAAAGCTGCCTTTTATTGTCGTTGTATGTTGAGGGACGTGTTGAGACCCCCAGTAGGTTCTCACCTATGGAAAGGTGAGTGGAGCTGTTGGTAATGGTGATGATCATCTGAGAAGCAGAAGGATCAGTGAGCATGATATGAGGAAACATGCCCATGAGCAACGGGCTCTGTTTGACCAATATTACCAGGTAGCCACAGTGACTTAAAAGCATATGTTTTATTTCTTAATTTTTCTACTGTACAGTGTCGACTGTCCATGACTGATGTGATGTTCTTTGAAGTTCTTAGAGAACTAGGTTTCCAGCTTTGTTTTGTCATTTCTACTTTCTTACTTCCTTTTTTTTTTATTATACTTTAAGTTTTAGGGTACATGTGCAAATGTGGCACACATACACCATGGAATACTATGCAGCCATAAAAAATGATGAGTTCATGTCCTTTGTAGGGACATGGATGAAGCTGGAAACCATCATTCTCAGCAAACTATCGCAAGGACAAAAAACCAAACACTGCATGTTCTCACTCATAGGTGGGAATTGAACAATAAGAACACATGGACACCAGAAGAGGAACGTCACACACTGGAGTCTTCTTTCTTCTTTCTACCTTTCATCACGCATCACATTTTCTAGATCAGAAGCCAGAGGAAGAGTGGGAGGTGAAATGGAACTGTGTCACTTAGTTTTCTGTCTTGAAGAAACTTCCCAGAAACTCCATTTGTCTACTTAAACTACACCTCACTGCATAGCCGTAGTTGCAAGGGAGACCAACAAATGTGTTCTTTACTGGGATGCGTGGCCATCAGGAAAGAGGCCAGTGTTCTGCTACCAAGAAAGATGGATAAATGAACAGTCACCCACAAGAAGGCTCAGCCATGGAGTTTCATCATATGCACTGAAGATGATCAATTGGAGAACAAGGTAACAAAAAGTTTTGACAAAGAAAGGATTACAATACCAAAAGGTGGGAACTAAGAGGAAAAATAGACAAATACTTGAAGGGTGGAGCTTAGCTGTTATCAGGGTGGCCACATGTGTTCTTCTGAGAGTTGTCTGGACTCCTCCCATGACAATCTGAACTCCCTAAAATGGATATTTAGTCACCTTTCAATGAAAAGAGAAGGAAAACTTAGAATCATTTCACATTATAGGTCAAATGTGGTCAATAAAGTTGTGTATGGGTATGTGTTTTCCCAGTGCGCCATTGTGTTTTATGTTGAGAAAACAGAGGATAAAAGCAATGAACCAGCAAGCTGCAAATGATATCCTTCTGAGTATGGGAGAAATAAAAGTAAACTTCTGAAGAGATAATACCTTCAAAACAGACAGAAGGTAGCACACAAACAAGATCTTAAATAAAGAAACCAAATCACGTATTATTCAAGGAAGGTTTATACACATACAATGGAATTGAATTGATAAGAAGACTTAAAGTATTTTTAGAGGCTGCAGGAAATAACTGGGATAAAGTAAATATCACAGAGAATGTTTATAAAAAGCACTACTTAAAGCCATTTTAGAGTTTCAGGGAAATAAAGAGCATTGCTGTATAAAAAGTGTGGAAGAGGATAAAGCACAGTACACAGATCATGCACTCACACACTCTTGGAGTGAAGAGCTTCAGAGATGATGCTTAAGGATTCTGAGGAAATATGAACTTCCTACAATGAGAAAGAATGTTGCCAACTTAAAAGAATAAAATATCATAATTTTGAAGATAAGTGAAATTCTGAAATGCCTTCAGATTAATACATGAAGGAAGGAAATGTATTCATACATTCATTTAACAAGTTTTATTTCTAACTTAGTGCTATGTATACAATGATGAATATGCAGACATGGAGAAAAAGGAGATAGAAAGATAACATGTTTGTACTGAAGTTGCTGCACAGTGAAATGATTTTTGAGGGAAATCATGAATATGTGAGAAAGTTTAGGAACCGCCGCCAACACCTTGAGTCTCACTGAGAACTCTAACAAGGATTTGAAAATCAGGTCAATGAAGTCTTTCCTATAAGTTTAAAATGAGATCAATATAGAACATTAAAGAATATGCAAATTACTTTAGGAGACAGAGCTAAATAGGACCTGAATGCAGCCTGAAAAAGAATAAGAAAATATCTAAATATGAAAACAACTAAAGAAGAGATGTTTAATTAGAGTAGTATTTGTTAGCTACAGAGACATAGATAAAGGAGCATTTCATGAGGAAAAGTTATCTGTGTCCACACAAACGCTGTTCAGAGGCAAGCATAGGTGCCCTGCTCTTTAATTCTAGGCCTGTTGATGGATGGTGGAGGCTTTTCATGGGAGAAAAATGCATCAGGGCATCTTGGCATGATCCCACTGCACGTCTTTTTCAAAACTCCTTCTATTTATTTTGATTCAATAACCATCAAATGACTTTCTGCTTTTGTTTTCCAACATTGCTTAACTATAGGGAGAGATTTGAATGTATTGGTCCTTTGCCAATAAAAGTGCTCATCATGAATTAGCATTATCTTACTAGTAACGACTGTGAGTTTGGTTAATTTTAATCTGTACTGAGACTTATGTGGTTATAATCTCCCACCTGAAATAACCAGAAATGCAGACAAAATATGGGAAGTGACAATTTTCACAACACTGGAACTCAGACAACAAAGGAACTTAGTTCCCGAGAGGACAAGAGGGTGCCAGGGTGAGCACTGAGCTTGTTCTGGTTTATTACCTTTAGAAAGTTTCCTGTCCAAAGCTTAGGAAAGGGATCCCCAGGTAGCTCCATGCAAACTCTCTGAGCTGAGGTTGTGTAAGACAGCTCAAGGTCTCAAGACAGAGCACCAGCAAAGAGGGAGCTCCACAGAGTGAGAAACTCAGACAGATGTGGGCAGCCCTCCTGAGTCCTTATCTCAGTATTGATCATTACATACATGAGAGAAAACTGCCTGAGCCTAGGCGGGAAAAAAAAGGAGGAATTAAAGGTAAAACTTCCTGGTCCTCAGACAGGGCCAGTAGTAAGATATAGTTAGTCCTAGACTGAACACTGCCTAACAAATCTTAAAAGCAAGCCCCAAAAGAATTCAGTTGTTTCTAATAACATCATTTCACAACAAAACTCAAGAAACTCAAGAATAGTTATAAGAACAAAGGTATTCAATACCACATAAGGTAAAGTTCACATTATCTGCTACTCTACAATTCTATTCCCAGCAAAAATATCTTTCAATGAAGCCACAGTAAAGACTTATAGATGTACAAAAGTTGGAAGAATTCATCACAATTAGACCTCCGCTTAAAAATATTATCCTACAGGCCACAGAAAAATGACATCAAATGGAAACATGGGTCTACACAATAGATAAACATTGATGAGAGGATGACTTTGTGACATCTATGTCATGCCTAGAACAAGAGGAGAGAAGCAGAATTAAAGTATTGTAAAGTTCTTATTCTATAACTGATGTGGTATAATATAATCTGAAGGTAGACTGTGTTTTCTAGAAAATGCATACCTTCTAAACTCTAAAACATCCACAAAAATAAGAAGAGCTTAAGAATGAGCTACCAGAGGAGATAAAATTGAAAAGTTACATATGTTTTATATTATATACATGCACAAAAACACAGACACAGTGGCCTCAAAGAAGGCTGAAAATTAGGAAAAACAAAGCAAAGCAAAGAAGAACAAACATAAAACAAATAGCATAATAGATTTAAATCTAACTTTGTCAGCCATTATGTTAAATATAAGTGGTCAAAATACCATAATTAAGAGGTAGGGATTGGCAGATTAGATAACAAAGCAAGACCCAGGTATAAGCTGCCTGTAAGAAACTTATAGGTAAGAAAAGAAAAAAAAAAGTCCAAACAGGTTAAAAGTAAAAGAAGGTAAAATACATATATACATGTATATTCTATGCAAGCATAAACTTAATAAAAGCTGGAGTAAACATATTAATGAGACAAAATAATTTTTAGAGCAAATAATATTACCAGGAATAAAGAAGATAATTTTATAGTGATAAAAGGAATCAAGTCATCAAAAACTCAAAGTTATCCGTAATGCTTATGTACCTAATAACAGAGCTTCACAATACATGATGTAAAAACTGATAGAACCACAAGCAAATTGTAACTGGAGAGTTCAATGTTTCTCTGTCAATCAATGCTGAACAAGCCGACTGAAAATCAGCAAGGGTATAGGAGACTTGAAAAATACCATCAACATAATCGGCCAAATTGTTAGTTGTAGAACACTCTATCCTGTAACATCAGAATATGTATTCATTATATTTCATCTCAAGTTCACATGGAACATACTTAAGTAGAAACTATTCAGGGCTCAATTAATGTGAAAAGATTCAAATCATACAAAGAATATTCTCTGACTATAGTAAGATTAAATGAGAAATCAATAACATGTCTATGGAAAATCATCAAATTTTGCAAAAACTAATAAATGTTTAAATAATTCATGAGTAAAAAAGGAAATTAAAGAGGAAATTAAAAGTATACTGAATTGAATTAGAATAAAAACACAACATATTAAAATTTGTGAGATACTGCTAAACTCAGGCTTAGGAGAAAACACCTAAGAGAAGAATCTCAAGTCAATAACCTCAGCTAACACTTTAAGGAACTAAGGGAAAAGATTAAACCAAAGTAAAGAAAGAAAACAATAAAGATCAGAGTATAAACTTAAAATTAGAAAACAAAAAAAATTTTATAAATCAATGAAACCAAACACTGATCGTTTAAAGATCAGTAATACTTATAAACATCTAGTAATATTGATAAAGAAAAAAGGAAGAAAACACAAATTACCAAAATCTGGAATAAGATGGGTAAATCCACTTTCATTTTACAGATGTTAAAAAGATAGGAACAAATCATGATCAACTTTATGCCAATATCTTCAGCAACTACGCTAAAATAGAAAATTTTCCTCAATGATACAAATACTCAAGAAGAAATAGATACCCTGAATGTCCTATGCTTATTAAATAAATTTACTTTGTAGTTCAAAACCTTATCTCTTAGAAAATTACAGGTCCAAATCATATCAAAATATTGAAGAACAAATAATAACAATTCTACACAATTCTTCTAGAATGGATGGAGGTAGAAATACTTCCCAGCTCATTCAATGATGCCAGCACTAATCTATTGCCAATACTAGATAAAGATAATACAAGAGAAAAATAAAATATAAAAACTACAGACCAATATACTTCATTAGCATAAATAGAAAACGTAATAAAAAGTTTGGCAAAAGGAATTTAACAATAAATAAAAGGATAATATATGATAATCCATCATTGTTTATCCCAGAATTATAAAGTCTATTTAAAATTTGAAAAATAGCCAATGGAATCCTCTATATTAATAAATTAAATGAAATTATATGATTTTTTCCAATAGACACAGGGGAAAAATTAGAAAATCCAACATAATTTCTGATTAAAAACAAAGTCAATTACAAAACTCTCAGCAGACTGGTAATAGACAGATACTTCCTCAAGCTGATCAATGGAATCTGTGAAGAACATACAGTTAGCATCATACAAAACAATAACATACTGAATAACTTTCCCTTAACATCAGAAACAAAATAAGAGTATCAGGGCATACTTTAGCAGTGCTGACTGCTTCCAAGTCTCACGAGGCTGCAATAATGTGTCAACTAGATCTGTGGTTTTTATCTGAGGCTCAATGGGGAAGGATCACCTTCCAAAATTGCATGGTAGCTGGTATCATTCAGCTCCTTGTGGGCTCTCAGGTGGAAGGTCTAAGTTTCTTGCTAGCTGCTGGGTGAAGGCAATCCTCAGCTCCATGCAAGGTACATTTTTCAGTATAGCCACTTGCTCCTCAATGTCACAAGGGAAAGAGAGTCTCCTTGCAAGATAGGTACATAATCTTACGTAGCATAATCACATAAATATAATCAGTTATAATCGGTGACCTTTGCCATATTCTGTGGTCAGAAGCAAGGAAGAGGGTCCACCAACACTCACTGGAGGTCGTGGGATCACCGTAGATTCTGTCTGACATAAATTCTGAGAATAGACCTGAAAACTTATACGCTGAAAACTACAAAGCGTTGCTGATGGAAACTAACGAAGACTTAAATAAATGGAGAAATGTCTCATTTTTATACACTGGCAACTCAATATTGTTACAATGTCAATTCTTTCCAAATTGATCTATACATTCAATGCAATCATAATAAAAATTTTTGTAGAAATAGAACATTTCTCTAAGAATTGACGAAATTATTTAAAAATTCTTATGGAAATCCAAAGTACCTAAAATGCCCAAAGTATCCTTGAAAAAGAACAAATGTGGAGGAATGCTTCTATCTGATTTCCAGACTAATTTTAAATCCTCAGTAGTCATGACAGTATGGTATTTGCATAACAATAAACAACAGATAAATTGTCCATTTATCTATGGAACAGAATAGGGAATTTGTAAATTGATTCAAACATATGTGAACATTTTTTTAAATAAAGGTGAGAAAGCAATTTAGCAGAGTAAGGGTGATCTTTTCAACAAATAGTGTGGGCCAAATTCAGTATACACGCACAATGAAATAAACTTAGATCCATAACCTATACTATTTATAAAAATTATCTCAGAATGTATGACAAACCTAAATACAAATCCTAAAACTCTAAAATCTCTAAAGAAAAATGGAAGAAGATCAACACAACTTACACACAGAGCAAATTTTTATGACCTTGAGATAGAGAAATGTCACAGAAACAGCACAAGAAAGAACTATCCATACAGGAACATACAGATTAAAAAAAAAAACCTTCATCAAAAAGATATAATTTCACTCTTCAAGAAACAAGGGTAAGAGTGGAAAATTAAATACAGCCTGGAAAATATATTTGAAAATAATATATGTGACAAGTGACTTGTATCCAAAACACATAAAACACTCTCACTAATTAATAATAACAAAACAAATGGCCCAATAAAAATGGCCGATTTTAACAGATAATTTATCAAATGTAAATAAATAGTAAATAAACACATAAGAACATAAGTCAGCATCATCAACCATTAAGATTGAAATTAAAACCACAGTGAAATATTAATTTCACTACTCATTGATTAGAACGGGTAAAATTCAAAAACAAACAAACAGAAAAGATAACTTGACCAAGACAAATGCTTGGAAACCTGGGAAAGAACTGGAATCCTAGTACAATGCTTGCGAGACTACACAATTGTACAAATACTTTAAAAAGCAGTTTTGCAGTTCCTTAAAATATTAAACACACATATTGTGTTATACAGCTAGCGCACTTCTAGATAATTACTGAAGATAAATAAAACAATATGTCCATTCAAAGGCTTCTGTATTAATATCCATAGACACTTTGTTTGTCATAGTCAAAATCAAGAAAAATAACCAAATAGCTTTCAATAGGTGATAAACAGAATGTAGCATAATTATGGAATGAAATAAAATGCAATAAAAAGAAGGAACAGTTAATATATACAGCATGAATGAATCTTAAAATCATTATGTTTCGTGAGAGGAGGAAAGAATGCTATTAAGTGGTTTCATTTATAAAAATTCTAGAGAATGAAAACCAATTGAAAGTGACAGAAAATGGTCTGGCTCCAGCATGTGGTTGGGGAGGCTTTGGAGCGGGAGTTACAAAGGACTGAAGAAAACTGTTTGGGGTGATATGTATGTTTATTGTCTTGATTGTGGAAATAGTCAAGAATATATAAAAATCCCCTAAATTATGAAACTAAACATGTTAAATATGGACAGTGTATTGTATATTAGACACACTTTAATAAAGCTGCAAAAATAATTCCTTCATCAACAAAATAAGTTTACTATTAGTTAAGTGAACTTTTTTTCGGAGCCTGAAGACTGAAGTTATAAGGTTGATTTATGACAAATTTTTAAATATATCACCAGAAACTTTGGATTTGACCAGCTTCCTTGTTGCCTTTTTGGTGTTATCTACTTACCTCTAAATTCTGGTTTGCACATATAAGATAATTTTTTTCTTTTTATTTGAACTTTTACAAACCCTAAGAAGAAACTCTAAAGGGCTACATAGCTAGGAGGTAGGGTTAATTAGACAAAACTTGGTATTTATTTATAGTCTGATTATCACTTCAAGTTCTTAAGAAAAAGTTGTTAATTGACTATAATAGGTCACATTTTCCTTGGATGTTGTTTTCTTTTAAAGAGTTATCTCATTCTGCACAAATAATATGGTTAGGATGATATATTAGGTTAGGCAAGAGCCTAGTCTTGTATAATTTACTGTATCTTATATATTTAGAATCCCAAAGGAGTTACCGAAACCTCATTTTATAATTCATTCATAAAGCCATATCAAGGAGTCTGAAAACAACAATAATAACAAAACAATACTTCACAGATTTCTACACAGTTTAATTTCTGATTCCACTACACTTTTAAGTTGAAACCTGTGTTTCCAACTCAATACCAATTTAAAAACTTTCCAAACATAAGGAAAATACCTAAAATTCTTGGATTTTCTCCACTCCCATTCTTAATTAAAATAATTTTGATGTTTGGCTATTACTTCTGTAACAAGTAATTTTCACAAGTTTGTAAGAATTTTAAGCTGTAGCTCACCCATCAAATGCAGAGACTGGATAGATTTTTATCAATCCCCTATCTCTTCCCGGTCTGGAAGGAATGTATTATCTACCAGCTCTTTGCAGTTTAATTGGAACCAGGTGCTGGTAAAAGTCAGTGGAATGTGAGCAGAAGGGATGAATTCCACTTCCACGATTACCAAAATCTGAATCCAGATACCAGGCTCTTTCTCTTCCCTTGAGATGTTAAAGCAACAAAATGGAAGCTACTCAAAGCACTAAGTTATGACTTCAAGGAGAACCACATCACCTATCTCAGAATGCTTTATGAAAAACAAACACATTTTCATGATTGTGGCCCCACCTCCAAATATCATCACACTGGGGACAGGGCTTTTTTGGGGGCAACACAGTTCAGTCAATAGTGCTTTGCCACTGCCCCCTTCAAAGTTCTTGTCATTCTTCAATGAAAAATACATTCATTCCATCCCAACAGCCTTTACCCATTGGTCTTTGACACCCTTATGGAAAATCGCTTGACCACATCTATGAGGGTTCATTTCTGGAAAGTCTATTCTATTTCATTAGTCCATATGACTAATCTTATTCCAATACCACACTGTTTGACTAACTGTAGCTTTGTATTAAGTTCTGAAATCACAGAGTTTAAGTTTTTCAACTTTGTTCTCTTTCAAGATTGCTTTGGCTATTTGAGATCCGTCAAGATTCTATGTTAAGTTTAGATGGATTTTTCTATTTTTGAAAAAAAACTCATAGAAATTTTGATAGGGATTACATTGAATCTGGAGATTGCTTTGGGAATTAATGCTATTTTAACAATATTGTCTTCTAATCCATGCAGAAGGGTTGTCTTTGTATTTAATTTCTTTCAACAACATTTTGTCATTTTCACTGTACAAATATTTTGCTTCCTACATTTATCTCTAGGTATTGTATTATTTTTGATACAATTGTAAATAGAATTGTTTTCTTAATTCCTTTTCTGGATTGTTCATTTTCGGTGTATTTTGCAGATTAATTTTAGTGTATTTGCGGATTAATTTTGTATCTCGCAGCTTTGCCATATTTATTTGTTTTAACTCATTTTTGCTTAATTTTTAGGGTTTTCTGCATATAAGATTATGTCATCTATAACACATAATTTTACATCTTCTTTCTCAATTTGGATGTCTTTTATTTCTGTATCTTTCCTGATCTCTAAGACTTGAAGTCCCAATACGATGTTGAATGCAAGTAGTGAAAACAGGTGTACTTGTCTTGTTTCTAATCTAAGAGAAAAAATTTTCAGTCTTTTACCACAGAGTGTGCTATTAGTTGTGAGTTTTCATGTATGATCTTTGTCACACTGAAGAAGTGATCTTCTATTTCTTGTTTACTGACTGTACCAGTAAAGGCTATTGAATTTTGTTAAATTCTTTGTCTGCATCAATTAAAATAATGATGTGATTTTTCCCCTACATTCTGTAAATGCAATGTATTATGTAACAATTTTATGGTGTCTAACATTTTGAAAACGCTGCTGAATTTAGTTTGCAAGGAGTTTTACTTTTAGGGTTTTGCATTGATATTCCTAAGATATATTGTTTTACAATTTTCTTCACTTGTATCTTTGTCAGGTTTCAGTTTGAGGGAAATGCTGGCCTCATAGAAATAAGTAGAAAGTATTCCCTTCTGTTTAATTTTTCAACAGAGTTGAGAAAAGTTGGTGTTACCTTTTCTTTAACGTTTGCTAGAACTCACCAATGCAGCCGTCTGGGCCAGGGCTTTACTTCGTTGGCGGGTTTTTGGTTACTGATTCGATTTCCTTACTAGTTACAGGTCGATTTAGGATTTCTATTGCTTCATGATTCAAGTGTGTTTATTGGAATTTGTCCATTTCATCTTGGTTAACCAATTTGGTGATATAAACATGTTTATTATATTACTTCAGAAACCTTTTTATCTCGGTAAAATCAGTAGTCACTGTGTCACTTTGGTTTCCGATTTTAGTTATTTGAGTCATATATTTTACTTAAAACTTCTAACGGTTTGACAATTTTGTTAATCCTTAAAAAAAAAAAAAACCAACTTGTGGGTCTCTTGAGTTTTTTCTATTATTTGTCTGTTCTCTATTTATTGACTTATTTTTGAGATAGGGTCTCACTTTGTAACCCAGGCTGGAGTGTGGTGGCACAATCTTGGCTCATTGTAACCTTTATCTCCTAGGCTCAAGTAATCTTTCACTTCAGCCTCCTGAGTAGCTGGAATTACAGGCATGCACCACCACACCTAGCTCATTTTCATATTTTATTTATTTATTTATTTATTTATTTTTGTAGAGACAGGATTTCCCATGTTGTCCAAGCTGGTCTCCAACTCCTAGGCTTCAGTGATCTGCCTACCTCAGCCTTCCAAAGTGCTGGGATTACAGATGTGAGCCACTGCAGCTGGCCTATTCTCTCTTTTTAAAATTGCTATTGTAATCATTATTATTTCCTTCCTTCTACTAGATTTGGGTTTAGTTTGCTTTTATTTTTCTAATATTTTAAGGTATGAAGTTAAAGTAGTGATTTAATATAGTTCTTCTTTTTGAAGACATGAAGTTACAGCTATGTCTCCTTATAACACATTTTTAGCTGCATTTCAAAAGTGTTGGTTTATTGTATTTTCATTTTCACTTGTTTTAAAGTATTTTCTAATTTCCCTTGAGATTTCTTCTTTAGCACATCGGTTAAATTAAAAAATGTGTTGTTCAATTTCCACATATGTGTGGATTTTCCAATTATTTTTCCTCTTACAACTTTATACCTTCATTCTCATTCCATTGTGATCAGAACAGACACTGTGATTTCAATAATTTTAGATTTATCAAGCCTTGTTGTGTGGCCTAACATGTGGTCTATCCTGGAGAATGTTCCATGTGCACTTGAGAAAATGTATATTCTGCTGTCGTTGGGTGAAGTGCTCATATATGTCAGTTAGGTCCAATTCATCTATAGAGTTATTTAAGTCCTCTAGGGCAAACAGGAAGGCTAGAGGAGGCTGGACTTGGGTATTTCTCTTCTCCCATGTCAGTTAGGCTCTGATAAACTCCAGCACACCAGGCAATAGTGAAATAGCTTCTTTTGATGGCAGGCTTTGTTAAGAAAAACAGAGTGCTCTGGCGTGTTTCAAAATGATTACTTTTTCTCTTTCCATGCCAGAAACAGAAAGGTGTTTCTCCCATCTTCACCATGAAGATTTAGTCCAGCTCTTGGAGGTAAAACTCATACAAGTGTGGGAGTTTCCCCATGACTGGGTCTCCCTAGAATTTTATCTCTCAGGCTTCTCCTCATGGAACCTCCAGCAGCTCATCTACAGTTCAGGATTCCATTCCCTTGTAGTGATTCCCACAGTGGATTCTGCTTTAGTAAGCTGTGATTTTCTGTATTGACAGTTCTCTCCAATTTTGTGGGAAAGTAGTTTGTTCTGTGACCTTACTTCTCTTACTGATCTAAGAAGAGCTAATGAGTTTCCATTTGTGAAGATTCCTTCTTTTTTTTAATTTTTAATATTTGTGGGTACATAGTAAGTGTATATATTTCTGGGGTACATGAGATGTTGTGACACAGGCATGCAATGAGTAATAACACATAATGAAGAATTGGGTCTCCATCCTCTCAAGTATTTATCCTTTGTGTTACAAACAATCCAGTTATTATCTTTTATTTATTTTAAAATGTACAAGTGAATTATTATTGACGGTAGTCACCTTGTTGTGTTGTGTTATCAAATACTGGGTCTTATTTAATCTTTCTAACTTTTTTGTGCACCCATTAACCTACTGCACCTTCCCCAACCATCCCCCACCCCACAACCACCCACTATTCTTCCCAGCTTCTGGTAACCATCCTTCTACTCTCTCTGTTCATGTGTTCAATTGTTCTGATATTTAGATCCCACAAACAAGTGACAACATGCGATATGTGTCTTTCTGTGCCTGACTTGTAACTCTTAACTGAGCGACCTGCAGTTACATCCATGTTGTTGCAAATGATAAGATCTCATTCCTTTTTATGGCTGAATAGTACTCCATTGTGTATATGTAGCTCATTTTCTTTATCCATTCAACTGTTGATGGACACTTAGGTTGCTTCTAAATCTTGGCTGTTATTAACAGTGCTCCAACAAATGTGGGAGTGCAGAGAGCTCTTTCATGGACTGATTCCCTTTCTCTTGGGGTATATACCCATCCGTGAAGTTGCTGGATCATATGTTAGCTCTGTTTTTAGGTTTTAGAGGAACGTCCAAACTCTTCTCCATAGTGGTTTTACCAGTTTACATTCCCAGCATCAATGTATGTGGCTTCCTTTTTCCCCACTTTTGCCAGCATTTGTTATTGTCTGTCTTTTAGATAAAAGCCATTTTAACTGGGGTGAGATGATATGTCATGATAGTATTGATTTGCATTTCTCTGATGATCTGTAACGTTGAGCACCTTTTCATGTACTTATTTGCAATTTGTATGTCTTCTTTTGACATACAAATTAATCTATTCAGGTCATAAAAGAGATCTATTCAGATCTTTTGCCCATTTTCAAATCAGATTATTAGATGTTTTGGTTCTTGTCATGGTGCTTTTCTCTTTGCAGATAGTTGTTAAAATTTGATATTCCTTCAGGGTGGAGAACGAATGATGTGGGCCCGTATTCCACCACATTGCTCCACTCTTCAGCAGGGTCCTTCTTGTCATGTGAATAGAAGTGATGACTTCCAAGCTTGAAACATCAGCAATAATCATGACACACCATATCAGGAATGCTTCTGAAGGAACCCTAGACAGAATTCAGCTTTGAGACAGGTCAAATTCTTCTAAATGCATTTGTTTCTTTTCTATATACACATATTCACAATTCCTGTCTGTATCATATTTTGTCCGACCAGTGGATTTTTTGGATAAATATGTCAATTTTCAGCCACCAGCAAGAAAGTATTCCCCTTTTTAATTTATGCATTGCTTTATAAATCTCACTTTGGGCTTGTAAAGTTCAGTACCTGGAACTTCGTTACTGAATTTGGGTTTTTAATTCCAGCAGCTGTGTGAGAGGCTGCTGAGTTATGGTTGGCTGAATTTGCCCACATTGTGATTTTTATATCTTCTCAGTGATGTAGAAGACTTTGATTGCCATAAATGCTTTGGAAGGAAGGAATGTTTTGTAAGTTCTGTGTTCTGTGTAGTACATCATACATCCAGTTCAACATATTCGGAAGAATAAATGCCTTAAAGTTCACTGGCTCTATAAAAATTGATATGCATCAGATTGAAATACACACAACCTAACTTGGATGAAACATATGACAAGCAATGGTGATCACGTGTTTTGTCAGTTGAGCATGAAGAGTATTTAATGGGGTAATGTTCTGGGCTCTTCAAGCTATTAGTACCCAAATACTAACAGGAAGTGAACTACAAGTGACCACTGAGTCACCTGCAATTATGTGTAACAGAATCATTTGCCGCTAAACAATGGAGTTTAGATTAGTCAAATGGTCTATGCATACCCGGGAGGTACCTCTTGGTATGATCTTCTGATATTTTCTGTGAACATGGCTCCAGTCGTTTGATTTACTGACTGTGGTGTCAGTTACTGTATTAAGCTCATTTGATTGAATGTAAGCAACCTAGTTGTCGAGTGAGAGGAAGCCTGATTTGTTGGGTCAGGCAACTGCAGACGTCTTCTAACCATGTACAAATCCTCCAGCTCTCATTCCTCATTCAATTTCTTCATCTGGATAACTTTGAACTCTCTCCCTCCTTGCATAGTACATCCTCCCTCTGCTCAGCAATTCCTTTTACTTTGTATTTGTCACCTCCGTTTTTCTGTCTCCTGTCCTTTCATCAATGCACTTTCATTTTCAAAGGAGACATTGACAGTAAAATCAGTTTCAGGGAGTGTATTTATTTACTTGTTTTGGCTGTTTTGTATTGACATTAATATTGTCATAAATTCACATTAATTGACCTCCAAATATGACTTAAGGATCCCTTTGAAAAAATGCCCTCACATTATCATCGTAACTAAGGTTAGGCATATCTGTTTAAAAACAGTTTATTTAATGATTTACAAAAGATATAACAGAGGCGCATGTAGCCTATACAGTAAGTTCTAATAAAATTTCATATTGGTTTAAAAGGATAACAAAGAGAAAGTAGAAAATCTCAACAGGAATGTGTTTTACTTTAAAATATATATATATATAAGGCAGTGTATGATGCTTTATAGAGCAAACGAAATGATCACCAGTCTTCTGAAGATATTTACCTTGGCGAACTGGTATTTCACTCCACTTAGATTATGACGTGTGTTTTAACACATCATTTTACAAATAAAAGCATTAGTTACATCATCTAAACCTTAAAAATCTAACAAAATATAAGATGTAAGATGACTTAACCTAATCAACAAAATTTGGGGTTTGGGAGAATATCTACATGCATAAAATTAGGTGTGATAATGGGTAATAATCACAAGTATAGAAAAAGAAAGGCTTATGACTTACATTGTCAATTTTATCCTTATAAATTTGATAACCTGGAGGAAATGGATGATTTTTCAAGACATATCAATTAATATATTATGTTCCTGAGAAATTATTAAAATTGTAATGAAATATTATGCTAGAATAAATTGGAATTGCTTACAAACATCAATCCTCCCCCCGCAAATTGCCAACAACCACCTTATTCTTCTTGCAGTTAAGCTGAGCACCATGACCCTAACAACGAGCAGGCTGACAGAAGAGCATATCTAGAGAAGCATCATATCACAGAGCCTGTAGGCTGAGGAGAGAATGACCCTGTTCCTTATTCATCCATTGGCATTACAAAACTAGTCGGAAACCCCAGACTCCTCCTTCACCTTCCCCAGCATCCCAGGAGCTGCTTGCTCTGGAAGATGTTTCCATCAGCCTGATTCCAGAGCACAGCTGTCCCTACACCATGCATTAGACATGACGACTGAGGAATGAATGGACTTCTCTCCCTCAAAGCTCCGCAATCTTAGGGTCATCATCCCCTGGTCCACTGTGACCTATGTGTGTGTTTGTCACATGTTTGCTTCATGCCCAGACAAGAAATGCCTTCATAGAGTCCTTTCACATGTCAGGTTCAGTAATGACACGTTAAATCCTGACTCCTTAACAGAAGCAGGTACACTTTACAGATCACATCGTGAAATGGAATTTGTAGTTGCTCCTGGGGTGTGTGTGGTCAGCTCCCTCTAGAACACTCCCACCCTTACCCAGTTCAACAGATCTTGCTGCATCAGTACTTTCTCCTGTGTGCTCCTTAATGTCTTATTTAAGAGGATTGTTATAATATCTAATCAACTGGCTGCAGCTTCGGGGCTGACTTCTTGCTAACATCATTCTCTTTCCTGCCTGTCATAACTTCACTTCTACTGTGTCCTCTTAAAGCCTTGTGACTAGACAGATACATCAAGCCCATTTGCCCTGAGGGTTCATACTGGGGAAAAACACTCCCAAATTCAGAAATAGTCTGTCTTAAAATAAGATATTTATTGCATAAATAAATACAAAAGTCTTCAACAGAGATAACTTATTAGATAAAATGGAGCACAGTGCTCTGGAGATAAACAATGGAATGACGAGTAATAGGTTATCATGGCCCCTTGTAGACACTTCTTTCAAGAGTAACACCCTCTTTCAGGGAAATGATTCTTTAACTGATTCTACTGATTTCTGTCATTCGGAACATTTTGCTTCTCTGGCTACAATGATTTGTTCAAGAATGGGCATGCTATGCAACTCTGCTCCATCTGATTCCATCCCTGGAACCGGAAACCTCAGTTGGATTTGAAGCTTATACACCTGGACCATCCTGACAGCAAGTTACCTGATAAATTGTCTGCAATTGGAAGAATGGAGCAGACAAGCATGGAGAGAAGGGACGTGTGCCCTGATTGTTTGAGGGTTTCCAGGCTCATTTTCTGCAGACCTGAAGCTCCTCTGCTCACTGTTTCACTAAAAGTGGTCTTTGTAGATCTTCATTTCTGCATCCTTTCTTATATTATTATTTTTTAGATGGGGTCTTGCTATGTTGCCAAGATGGTCTCAAACTACTGGCCTCAGGCCATCTTCCCACCTCAACCTCCCAAATCACTGTCTTATTTATTTTTGATAACTTTTGCTCCCTTAGCTTTTTTTGTATTATTATTTTTTATTTCAAATTGGTTCTTGCTTTTTAAAATCAGGGTTTTATTATTTCAATTTTTTAATTTTTTTTAATTTTTTATTTTTTAGACAGGGTTTTGCTTTTGTTGCCCCCTGCTGGAGTGCAATGGCACGATCTTGGCTCACTGCAACTTCCACCTCCCAGCTTCAAGCCATTCTCCTGCCTAAGCCTCCCATGTAGCTGGGATTACTGGCGCCTGACACCATGCCCACCGAATTTTTGTATTTTTAGTAGAGACGGGGTTTCACCATGTTATTTCTAATTTTTAATTTTCAATTTGTGTGGCCACATATTAATAGTAGATATATATATTTATGGGGTATATGGATAAGGTAGGCCATATGCAACTACATTTGAAAATGGAAGAAGAAAACCCTAAAATAAGGTTCCTGGTGATGGGTTATAGCTCTGAACTTGCCATTGTCAAGCAAAGCACATTTTAAAGTAATTATTTGAACAAAAGTTTCATATGGCTTAACACTGGGAGAGCCACCTAAACTGGGCTTCATGTTTCTCAGGGCAGAACCACTAAGGAAAGAGGCCTGGTGTCTGCGGTACCAAATATCTCCAGGTTTCTACACTTCTCTCACCTTCCTTCTGGAAATACACTTCAGATAAGGCTTCCACTGCCCGGTGAATACTTGGCCTCAGAATTGACTCTGTCCCCGTCGCATGCAAGAGGGTCGCAGAGTCCAGACTCAGTATCTTGAATTCTCCATTCACAATGATTTCTCTAGTTTGAAACCCACTGTCACCCCTAGATATTTGTTTTCATTGGTGCCCAAATAAAAAAGGCAGGCTGCCCTGCTCCACTCCAGCTTCCAGCTGCATCAGAGTTCTGAGACTCTTCTTTGTCTTGGAAGGGGTTTGAACAGCAAAAACTAGGAATTAAGACACCAGGAGTTCATACCAGCCTGCAGCAGTAGCTGTGACCCATGTAAGATGTTGTAATTGGTGATAAATAAGCAGGTAATAGTCAGGATTGGGAAAGGGGGTAGAAGAAAAGAGGTACTGTAAGTTCTGCCCCTGATAAGAAATGTTTCTGGGTCATAACTGAGAGAACATCGGAGATAACATGATAATCCATCTGAAGCCAAAACATCAAATTCATAAATCCGCATGATGTCTGACATACATTCATTACTCTTATCTATAAATAAATTCATGTGTGTCTTATCTGTAAATAAATTCATGTATGTCTTAACTTAAACATATTCATGTGTGTGTCGAGAGAGAGAAATAGATGGAAAAATGAAAGCTACAGATATATGTCCAAGTTGGACTCTGCCTATTTTTCCACCTGACATTTTACTATTAATAACATATTCACAATCTCATTTTCACATGATATATTCCTTGCTTTTTACACATAATTCACATGTTTGACATATTGTACAGTAAGACTATATTTTTCAATGCAAATCCGAAATTAAACACATGCAGCAATTCTAAAATAATAACTATAAGGAGAAATACAGCATCCGCAATGGTAAATGTGGTAGTTATACCCTACTCTTTGTTGGTGAGATGATTACCAAATGAAACATTGTGTTACATTCTAAGAACCTCTTGGCAAGAAAGATATGAACAAACACGATAAATGACTAAATGGGGACCATCGTCTAGCGGTGACCAAGGTCACAGAAAGCATCTCTTAATCTCCTAGTTGAATGAAAGTAGAATAGCACAGGGTGCAGAGAAATCGAGTCTCCTATTTCTCTAGACTCATTTCAGCCTCTCTGGTTTACTCTCTCAGAGCTCTCTGGCTTTTTGTTCTTACACAACACCCTAATTTTTGTGTAGTTATCTGTTTAATATTTACCCCATTCCTAGATTAAAGGACTAATAAAAGAATATATTCCATGTTTTTCCACCTTCTGTTTAGTTACCTGCACTGTGTGGGATGCAGAGAAGTTGCTCAGTACATATTTATCTTAGTAATTAATCAAGAATATGGGTAGACGCTGGATGCATGATGGGCAAACTCAAAGGGAATTGAGCCCTGACAGCAAATAGGTGAAAGAGCCTCACATGTAGGAGTCCCCACTCCAGCTTTTTAAAAGTCTAGAAAGGCACAGAACTAGAATCGATAAGCCAGCAGCCTAGGGAACTATGTAAATTGATTGTGAAGGAGAACTTTCCAACTCTCTGAGTTTATCTCCAGATGAAATAAAACATCTTGGACCTCATCACAGAATATGATCAAGAAGAGGCTGGCTCATGGAAAACTGGAGATGCCTGGGCTAAATCAAGGGAGGTCACCCTAAATAGGTTAGTATCACTTAATTATAGTTTATAAAATAACTACAGATGTTGAAGGCTCAGAAAAATTAGTCAATGGAAAGAGAAAGAAAGACGATTGGATAAGTGAAAACAATGACTTTGGAGGTTCATATAGCTGTCCAAGGGAGTCAAATTCTCTTTTATTATCAGTGAATAGTGTAAGGGAGGGACCACCTGATTTTGGTGACATTTGAGCACTCATCTAAAAGTGAGCATCCTGGGCTCTATTCCTTACCCCATCCTCTGTTACTTATATGCCTTTAGGTAAGTGATTTTTCCTGGCTGGGTTCATATTTCCTTACCTGTAATATTAAAGAATAAATCTAGATGATCTGTCTTTTTGAGATTTAACATCCTATGATGAATAGTGGACTCAACACCACAGATATTACTTTTCCCTCTACAACCCAGAGCTATAGGAGTTACAGGAGCAATTACAGAAAAAAGAGTTCGTAGAGAAGAGGCTAGTGAATAAGGAAAAATGCTTGCTGTATTTCCACACATTATAGCAATCACAGAAAAAAAAAGGTTAACTTTTTTCACTGCTTTAATGTAGGAGATGAGGACTCTGAAACCACTTCCCCAAAGTTTATTGAGATTTTCTATTTCATTTAAATTATTTAGGTTAAACTAACAAACCAAAGTAAGACTTATCTGACTAGGTGCTTCCCCAGGTTGGAATCAATAGCTTAGATTAGTGAATGTAAAGAAATAGAAAGTACTCAAGAACCCAGGGGAAAACATACCACATTGGTTCTCAGAGTTCTTCTGAAATTCTTCTATTACTAAATAATAGATCGCCTCCAATTTTCAATACATTTAGACCCACAGAGAAAGATTGGTTTTCCTTCACCTATATTAGGTTCATTCAGCAGTGTTGTGTGTGTGTGTGTGTTGTGTGTGTGTTTCCTGTGTGTGTTGTGTGTGTGTCTGTGTGTTGTGTGTGTTGTGTATGTGTGCTGTGTGTGTGTATGTGTGTGTGTGTGTGTGAGGGGCGGGATGGAAGAGAAAGATTTTTCTTTACCAGTTCACAATGTATCACTGACACGTAAACATCATGGGGAGATTAATTTGTCTCTGTCTCTCTATGTCTCTCATACATATACACATATGTCAATGGCTTCCTTTCATACAAGATGTAGGGAGAAAAAAGAGCACTAAACTAAGAATTAGGTGACCTGGTTTCTTATACCATCATTATTAGCTAGATGAAGTCTCTATGTCTTGAGCACCCACACTGATCTCCCTTTACTATCTTTCTCTTTGGTATTATGAGATTGGTTCCTATTAAGAAATTGAATAAATATAATCCTTTGAAATTCACTGTCATGTTTCTTGTAAGAATGTTCTTGAAGATAACTTTCTCTGTAGTACACAAACCTTATTCTATGAAGACCCAGGGGATACACTTCTCTCTTACAAATATTAGATAATAGTTGCGTTTATTTTCCATTTTTTAAAATATGGACAATGCAATTTATTCACTTTGCTTTCTTTCTGTGGCTCCACAAGGTTTCTTTGTACCCAGCAGCTAGTAAATACATAGGCCTTGCAACATAAAAATTGTGGAGAGCTTTAGTTTGTAATGGCTGCAAGAAACAACCAATTAGATTCTTCAATTCAGTTTAAGTCAAGAAGAATTTATTACAAGGAAAGAACTTAGGATACGGTAGCTAAGGGCAGAAATATCTGGTTAAAGTTTCATTAGGAGCCATCAGGGACCAATGAATCCAATCTTGCCCTTTGTCTCTGGGACCCGAGTTCTTTCTGGTGTTCTTCATGCATATATTTAATTATACTCTCTATCTTTACTGGCTTATTTCAACATTTTAAGCAAGGTGGGACTTAATAAACCAAGAACATAGGTTAGGACATCTGTTTAACCTCATTGTCATAATGCGCTATACAATAGTGTTTTGATAGGTAATTTTCAAAAGAAAAAACAAAACTATCTAGACATTTTTATAAAGTACTCTTATTTAAAGTCCAAATTTATAAAAGAAATAGATAACCCAGAGTACTCCCTTCAAATGACATCCATACATAACCTTATAGTTCTATTCCTGAAACTAAGTAAGTGGAATATGAGCCTCATTTCTCAGCAGGAACAGTTGGGACCACCTCAGTTCAGTTCCCCGTGGCCCCACAGCACCACACACCTGATGGGAGCTGCAGGTCACACTATGCAGAGGAAGCATAGCAAAGCAGGCAGGGGACACTTAGCCTCTAAAATATCTGTCAGGTATGCCTTTGGCTTTTCCTAGTTCTTGTTTTGGTTTTCCTGAGTCACCTTATGTATTTTACATGTCAATGTATCCCACAGGCATTTCTGTGATCAGCTATCACCCCTCCTTTGTGAACCAATAGAGACATCATCAAGAAAAGGCATAGCGTGGGCTTCACTGACTCTTTACAAATCACTTCCACAACACCCAGAATGACCGTTTAGATAAAGCACCTGAACAATAGTCATATAGCCCAAGTATAGAAATCCAACATATAGAGGAAATGAAACTTTCTATAAAGCCTATGTATGAAAGTCTGGAACCCCAGTCGAACCTTCCATATATCCCTTGACAGCCCAGGAAGCACCACTTGGCTAGATAATTAATGTTAACTGCAGACATCAATCTCTAGTTTCCAGGTTTGAGAGAGAGAATGATAAGGAATAAAAAGAAGAGAAAAGAAGAACGTTTCTGGTAGTATGACTATACTTTGTAGGCATGGATTTCACATTGCCATTTGCTTATTCAAAGGTAAGTATGACTTCATGCTTATTTCAAGAAGCTCACTGATATTATCCACGTGGCATGCCTTCAATGAAACTAGGTTCCTTCACCTTATGTTACTAACTAACCCAAGATCTTAAAATCAACTTCTGCCGAGCCTAAAATTCCTCCCCTGAGGGATGATTATTTTTTCTATGCAGAGACATTGCACTCTTGTGAAGCTACATGATCTAAAGAGAATGTCCATAATGGAAGTCAGCCACCCCAGTCCTTGTTCCACTTCGAATTCCTCCAGGTATTGGAGACATCATTGGACCTCCTTGAAGGTGTAGCTGTATGTCTCAGTGATGTGTCATGCCCTGGATTCTGCTTCAAAACTCTTGATTAATCAGCGCACACGACTTTTCCATGAATAATTTATCCCAGAATTAATGTTTTATGCTCTGAACTGGGCCCTGCTTTCAAAACACAGGAAGTGAAATTCTCAGAACGGATAAAGGAAAGTAAATATAGAATCCAGAACATTTTAGGCTTGACAGGAAGTTGAAAGAGTTTTAAAAAGTGTTAATTTGTATTTTTTTTTCTATGAGTTACAACTTCTCTTGTGGTTAATGACAAGGTAGGGGAAAGAAGAATATTCGTATTTGCCACTATGGAGAATAAAACGGGTTGATGACTGCAGTATAGCAGGATTACCTGGTAACTTTTCAGTGCTCTATGGAGATTGAAGACTTTAAGGTTTGGGAGGTACGGCATGCAAGAAAGGTTATCCCTTGAAAAATCGCTAATATGAAAGGGGAGAAGGTGGGCAGTTATATTCAACTGAGACTGGAATCTCTCTGCTAATATCCCTGATAAGAGGACAATGAGTAAGAAAGTTGGGAATACCGTCCGGAGACTGTGTCGGGAAGAGGATCACAGAGTCTGCAGCCACAGTGGAGGAAAGCAAAGACTGGAAGCTGCTGATAAATATGAATAAAGGATGGCATCTATGGGCTTATGGTACAAAGAAAATATTTTTTTAAAAGGATTGGTATAGATGTTGGGTCACAAAAAGAGGAGGAATAAATGGCTGTGACCACAAAGGCAGTTCTATTATTTCACAAAAGAAATCAGTCTAGATGATTACAGAGAGAGAGGCTAAAAATTGGGGTCATGAAGGTAGATAGATGAAACCATTGGTTTAGCTTTAAGCAAGTTGAGAAAAAAATAGAATCTAAAGGAGGGCCTGAAAGCTAGGATGGATCACAGCTGAGATCCTAGCCCATAAATACCTTCTCAAACTTGAACTCTTTTTCCTATCACACGCTACTTATTTCAACTCCATATAAGCTGTTTAAAAGCCTCAACATAGCTCTAACACACAATGAGGGATCTTATACTCTTTTTAAAAGTGTATTCTTGGTAAAATTCATAAAAAGTATATTTTTGTAACAAAATGAAGCTATTTCGGTTTTGAAATGTTATCCATTTTGGTGCTGATATGGTATCATCTTTCTCCACAGCCTCAGTTGCTGAAGTTAAATTTTCTTGTCACCAAAAATGACTGGGTGAGAGACCCCATATTGTGAAGGATTCTACTAACAAGCTGAATTTTTACATCATCATTTGGTTTTACATTTCAATCAAATGAATCAACTTGCCAGTTTGAATGTCTTATTAAAATAGTATCACCCTATTTAATTATCTAGTTTAGACAAATTAAGGAAATACCACTTTATAACTTAGGAAGCCTTATCAAGGACACAATAATTTCTGTATGCGTATAATCAAAAGACTTTCATCCTTACTTAAATTGATTCCTCAGTATTAAAGACATATGTTTGAGAATTGTGACCATACCCTAATATAAATATAAAATAAGTAGCAGGAAGGAGTGCAATGGTGGAAAGAAACCACAAACCATCTGCTGTCTTCAGTAGTGTACTTGAATCAAGTTTTGCCAATCCCGACCCACCTACCTATCAATGTATGACCCTAAAATGGTAGATTTATAGTCGTAAGAGGCTTTTTTTTTTTAAAAAAAAACATCTTTCGTTTCTTTATATCTTCTTAAACCGTGTTCCGAATGCCAGCGCTGGTTTTAGTTCAGCTGAAGCTGCCTTGAAGATAAGAGAAGAAGCCAGTTCCCTGAGCCTGTAAAAGCTGTCCCGAAATTTATTTCCAGTTCTGAGTGACTCAGCACCATATCTCTTTTTTTTATTTTTTATTTTTTATTTTTTATTTTTTGTCTGATTACTTGAATGGCAATTTTAAAGGCATGATTCACTTTGTGTCACTAATTTTTATTCTCTAGGAACGTCTGATGACTGGTGACTATTCCAACAAGTGGGAGTTTGTGTTCTGTGCCACATGTTTCTGAAGTCCAAGCATATTTCTTTAAAAAGAGAGTGTGTATGCCCATGTTGTTACAATTAGCAAGAAGGACCAAGTCAAGCCACAATTATACAGTCTGTTTCTAGCTTTTTAAAGCAATAGGAAGTGTTTTCACTGGTGTTTTATAATTTGTTTTTTTTTTGTTTTTTTTTTTGTTTTTTTTTTTTTTTTGGTGGCTGGGGGTGAGTTTTGGGAAAATAATATATTGAGAAGAACTTATCCTTGGTTTTTCCAAAGGGGAAGTGTGGATATATACTTAAACCTACACAACTCTTGGATACTTTCTCATGGTTTTCATCTTGGTAGGTTCCAGGTCACCAGATGCTTTCTAAGCTCTTCTCTTTTATAATGAGGTTATGGAAATCTAGGCAGAAAGGGCCAGTTAATTAATTGATGGATCCCAGATAAGAAAAAATGGGGAGATCACTCTATCATGTAGTGCCTTGCAGGACAGACAGGCTCCAGGTGCACACGCTGCGGGAGAGCCCAGCACATGAGACTCAGCTCTTTCCACGTGTGAGTTGTATCAATGGACCTCAGTTTTGCTCTTTGGACATATTCCACATTTTAACATGCATGATTTAAAGGCAGTTGTAAGGCCCCTTGTAAGACGTTATTTACCCAACCAAAGATTTATGGTCCAATTTACCATCTGGGTGATCCATCACCATCTTAGTGTGGCCAGCCCTCCCTCCATTCCGTTATAGTCCCTGGCTCATTGATTTTTATGTTACTTTAGGCCCCATAACAATTAATACCACCTAAGTTTTGGTGGCATTTAATACAAGAGGTTGACTCAGAATTGCACTTACATGGAGGTGTTGTGTTGTTGTTGTTGTTGCATGGCCTTTCATTATTCCTGATTTATCCTCTTGCTGTATGCATCTACTCATGCCCTGTGAGAGTCATTACTCCCGATTTATCCTCTTGCTGTATGCATCCACTCATGCCCAGCGAGAGGAGCTGGTGTGGGAAAATCAACACCTAGTATTCAATGTGTCCCCTAACAAAAGTTACTTGAAGAAAAGGAGGATTTAAGAAATCACATTTTAATGGATTTATAGTTAAATGTAACCATTAATCCATACACTATGGTGAGCAGAAACGCCTCAATAAATAGGTTCTGTTCATTTTTCACATTCAAGAAACCACTGTTATCTCTTACTTGTTCCTACCAAAAATCAATCTCCTTAGATGTAATTCTAATAATGAAAAATATTAGAATTTGTATGGAATAGGACAGATGTAAAATAAATCCTATGTTTTAGAATTAATTTTTTCAATAAATTTCGGAAATCCAAGCAAATCCTTAGGAACCCAGGAAAGGAAACAATCATTGTAAAAGTTGATATTGCCATATTTAGAATTAATTGCAAAAATTTTGCTGATTCAACTTATGTAAATCAGTGTTTTTTAAATCAGAGAGCATTACTGAAAATGAAATCAAATTGAATTTAATATATAAAGTTTCTGCTTTATTTCAGTTTAAAATTTCTTTCAAAAAGAAATGTTCAGTCAGAAACTTTGTATGAAAACATCATGCACTATAATTTACTTATTGTTTGGAAAACCTTCAGCATAAATAATTTCAGTTTCAGCAGATGAGATTATGATAACTTGAAAGATAGTACTAACTGACTAATAAAAGAGATGAAATCCTTTCCATCAGCATAGCTGAAAAGAAGTTTCTTCTTTTCAGAAGTACAATTCAAAGAGGAGTCCCTACAGCCCTGCATTTCTTGGGTTTATAAAATAATTATAAGATGTTTGAAAACCAATGACTATAAACTTTCTTATACCTTTCTACCTACAAAAAAAAGTTTCTGATTTTATGGCTGAAAAGTAATGTCTTAATACAGAAAATTTGAAGAACACAGAAATTACACAAACACACACACACGCACGTGCGTGTACACAGGAAGCAAGTCTTCCATAATCCCTACCCAGAAATTATTTTGGCACTATTACTAAAATCCAGTTGTCCAATTTTGTGAATCTGTTTCTTCAACTAGACACTTGGTTTTTGATAAGAGTGCCAAGGGAAGTCACTAGGGCTAATGAGCACATCAAACATGCTTACTACGTCATCTGGTAAATGGCAATTATGAACACAAAAAGATAACACTATGCATTCAGTAGAATAGCAATAATTAAAAACACCAACAATACCTACTATTAACAATCATGTGGAACGATTGGAACTCTCATACACTACTGAAGAGAATTTAAAATACTACCACAACTTTGGAAAACAGTTGTCTTAAAAAGTTAAACATGCACTTACCATTTGTCCTAGCAACTTACTTGTATGTATTTACCCAAGAGAAATAAAAACTTACGCGTACAAAATATTGAGTACAAATATCTATGTTCATGATAATCCAGAATTGGAAACTAGAATTGGTATCAACCAGTGAAGGGATACAAAAATTTATTATATCCAGACAATTGAATACTATGTAGCACGGCCATACCACCCTGAACATGCCCGATCTCATCTGAATACCATGTAACAATATAAAGAATGAACTGTTGATACATGTAACAACAGAACTCGATCTCAAAATCAGTGTGCTTAGTGAAAGAAGCCGGTGAAAGAGTGTACAATGTATGATTCAATTTATAGACAATGTTAGAAAATGTAAAGTAATCGATAGCAACACAATCCATACCTTTGGTTGCCTGGGGCTAGGTGGAGATAGGTCTCGACAACAAAAGAACCCAAAGAATTTTTTTTTTTTTTTTAATGGGTGACGTGGCGTGAAGGGAGGAAACAAAAGTATCTTGGATCTTGTCCAAGGTGATGGGTTTGTGTGTGTACATGACTCTTGAACTCATCTAACTGTACACTTTTACTTGAGGCACATTACTATACATAAATTATATTTCAAACAAATTAAATTTTTAAAATTTTTAAAGCAATATTAAAAGAAAAAATCAAGATAGAAATTGAATACAACCTGAAGTAACAACAATGCAAAAGTCCCTGGTCACTGAGTGGGTAGCTGAGAGATTAATAAAATGAAGACGGTCATTTTGTAACATTAAGGACGATGCTTTTTCTCAGTGTTCCAACATTTTAAAATATTTTATAATTTTTAATTTCTATTAATAGTAATAAAATTGAGAACACCATGGCAGAACACTTCATCCTCTGCACTCTGATGAAAATAGTGTTTGTTCCTGCATTGTTCCCGGTGAGACAATTTGGCTGAATGAAACACTTGGATTGCTTTTAATACTGGTACTGGAGGACTCTGTCACAATTTGTCTCATGGATTGTAGAGCGGATAGGACTTCTGTCTCACATTAATACATCCTTAAACTAAAGATTTTTCTCTGCTAGTTTTTTTTTTTTTTTTTTTTCCTGGATTTCTAAGAGCCATAGATGCTTCCCTGATCTTTAGTTCCTGATAGAAGCCTTAATCCTCACAGCTGTGGACAGCGTTGTCAGCTGAAGGCTCACAGTGAGTCTCTCAAGGAGATTGCCTACACTTTCCTCAGGACTTGCCCTCAGCCAAAGATTGCTTCTTTGCTTAAGGTGAGTCTTGCCGTCTGGGAGGAGCTGCAGCCAGTGATTTTTTTTCCAGGATACAGCATATGATACCTCAATTCTGGGCAAATTTCAAGAACTTTCCAACCTCCAGATTCCCTATGATATTGGCTGGGTCGTTTCTTCCAAGGGCATCGCAGTTTGCCTCCCTGTAACCAGCCTTGTCCTTTTACTCACCCACATCTATCACTGGAGTGCTCTCCATACATTTCCTGCCAGAGTATCTCAACCTCAAAGACTAGTTTCCAGAGAATCCCACCTCAGACACTTCATACTAAAACTAGTCTGAAGAAGAAGACTTTATAGTGAGATTTTACAGGTGCATAACGTCTCTTGCCAATTGTCTGACCCTCCCTGGTCTGGAGTGGATTTTGAGTAGACCGTAGCATGCAGTAGCCATGTGGCTGTTAAAACTTCCACTGGTGGAGAATGGGAATAGGGGAACAGTGGAAGAGAATGCACTAGCAGTTGCAATATCCCTGGCAGCTGATAGATGTGTGGGAAGTCATAATTAAAGAGTAAAGAAATTAGGTGGTTCTTAGTAAATGCTATGGATGTACTAATGAAAGGAAAGAGTGATTACTTACCACATTAAGGAAAAAGTGACAGGCATTTGGACATCTCTGGTAACATGCAAACAGAATTCCTGTCTCCCGCCTTTGAAAGGATCAGACCTAGGACGTAATTATAAAGGTCATGAAACTCTGGATAGACTTGGTGTATGATCTGTAGCAATGCTCTACACCAAAGTCAGACCCCGGATGGGAAGGATTGAGATCCGAAGACATGGGATGTAGACATCTGGGCTGCTGCTCGGGACGTCCCCAAGGACATGGACCTCCAAATCTCCCTGGACTTTGGGATCCTGCAAAACGGCCCCACTTCCACCTACTAAAGTCTTGAGCTTCACCTGTCAGATGTTCAGAGACAACGGGGAGACAATGTGTGCTCCTTCAAGTTCTGCCCCACCTCCCCTCATCTCCATGAGAGAAAAATGAGGGTCGATCATAAAACAACCTGACACAGAATGTGTTGACCCCAAGATGAGAAAAGAGGCCGTACCCAGAAGAAGCTTCAGGACATAGCACCGATTGTTGGAGTGGGCACCAATACAATCTGATTGGTGTCCTTATAGAAACAGAAATTAAAGCATAGAGATGAACAGAGGGAAGCCCCCAGGGAAGAAACAGAGAAGGTGGCCATGGGCTGGCTGGAGACACCTTAGCTTTCTTCTTTTAAAAATGGGCACTGTCCAGTGTCATTTTAATAATATAGTCAACTGGGATATAGCACTTAAAGGAACAGGCCTTATCAAATAGCAGTTGCTTTTATGATTAAAATGTATTACATATATACAGTTTATTGTATAATAAATCTCTCTTTATTGTATGTTATTTAAAAAACACATTCACTATAAATGAACCTAAAGTTGTCTATTTAAGTTTGCTTGTCTGTTTTTTAAAATGTGATTTTCAATATTCAAATGAGAAAAATCCTAATTCCTCAATAAAGAAGCCAAAAGTAAAGAACACAAGTCTGAGAAACCTGTGGTGTTTGGAATATTATTCTAATGACACAAAGCCTTCTTATCCACTCCCATCAGATCTTATTCTTCATAGGAGAACTTACCAGTTAATAAATTAAAAACTGTGGGATTGCTCTTAGCTACCAGCTGGTATCAGGTAGGACATGTGGGCACACTTACCTAAGTGTTTCCTCATTGCATTAAGCTCTTTCTTTGTGGGGAACACGTAAGCCATTCCTCACAAGGATAAAAGTTTAAAAAGGGAGCAAACACTTGTTCACAAGAATGCTTTTCAAGGTTTTTATTTGTATTTAATAGGGAAATACTATAAATTATAAATAATGCTGAATGCATTGTCAAAAATTCACTTTATAAGAAATCTACCAAAACTATTTAGAAGTAACTAACATTTTTACAAAATCATATATACAATGAAATACCATCAAAATAAATATGTATCTACACGTTTGACATTTTCTAGAGTATCTGTCAAAATGCTATGAGTGGTTTTTTGGATCATGAAGTTATGTATTTCCGTTACCTAATTATTCACCCTAAAATGTATTTTTCTATCATTAAGACTGTATTATTACTAATAAAAACAAGAGAAAAGTTATATTTACATATTGTATTTATGAAATTTCTCATTTTTTGAACACTCTGAGACTGAAAACTTGCTCTTGTAGGAAAAAAAAACACTTTATTTTTGTCCAATAAAACATTTATGAAGTTTCTCTTCTTCACAAAGTCTCTGCTGGTCATGTATATACTTGATCTCAAAGACATAAACATTAAATGCCGTTCTTGTTACAATCATCGTCTTTCATGAAATTCCGCTCTGGTGTGAGTCCTTTGAATTGAAGGTATGAGCGCAAATGGAACCTTTTATCCCACTTACCATATTAATAAGCTTTATTTCCTCCATAGGACCACAGATCCTTACCTAACTCTCATCTTTAAATGTGTTTTCTCTGTATGAAGCATTTGTACAACATATTTCCCAAGCGTTCCTTCATGCATCTGTGGGCAATGCATTCTAATTTTCCATTGTGAATTGCATGCTTGTTACTAGGCCCCGGGGGGCTGCTGTCCTGCCGTGCATTTCAGCATTTCAGCTGTCCATTACGAATAACGCGGCCACCTGTAGAGTATGACGCTATTTGCTCTTCAGGTGAGGCAAAAGTGCCTACCTAAGAACGCTTCTGTGCATTCCTTCCTTCGAACATTCTCTAGTTAACAAACTGATGTCTCACTTTTGACCATTCCTTGAGTAGTCTTTATTCCCAAAGACATAAAACATAAATACTTAAGATTTTCAATTCCTGGAGTCTCCTCTGTGAAGGCACATCTCATTCCTCTAATTTCTGAAAACAAGAGAGCAGTCTCCTTCTGGAGAGCTGGGTGCATCTTATTTGTATTGATTGTTGGAGAAGCGTTGTTGAGGTGTCAACATGCGGTTCTGGCTCTCAGACATCTTTGGCTTTCAGAGGCCTAAGTGATCACTGTTAGGCATTCTGGACAAAAACATAGATCAACATGTTTCAAGCAGTTAAATCATGGACCCAAGTGATTTGACTTTCAAGGTAGTTTTCAGTCAATTTTCATAATGGCCCCAGATCACTATAGTTCTTTATTGAAAGCTTGTTCTACCCTGCTTTCTGAGAACTCTAAGTTTTTCCATTCTTGCTCAGTAAAGTGGCTGGTGTGATCTGCACATTTTACTAATATTTGGGTGAAGGTCACAATCTAGAGGAGTGTGAACTCTTGTAGGGGAAAAGAACCAACAATTCATTAGTTTTGTGTGTGTGTGTGTGTGTGTGTGTGTGTGTCTATGAAAACACTCTACTAGCATCTTCCTCCAAAATTGACAATATTAAGAAGCCAAATAAAAAGTAAACAAACAAAAACTATGTCTCACCCCTAATTTATTCTGAGGTGTGTTTACTGCATACCATTAAGCATTTTCTAATTAGTCTCCATAATTATAATTGAAGGGAAAACACATGTGTAGTAAGTATTTGGTGTTACTTTTATAAAATATTTTATACTGCAATAAATAGAAACAAAAATGGGGGTGATAAGTTCTATATAACTTGTATCTAATCATAATGAAGTGTAACATATAGAGTCTAAAATACCTCCTAAAGGCATTTCATTCTTCCTCCGTGTTGGAATGCATTGTTTATCAGAATATTCTAATAAAATTTAAAATACACAAATATGTGTTTTTCTTCCATAAATGTGCTATAAATTTGCCTACAAAGTGGAAAAAAGAAATAAAAAGAGGGCCGGGCTTGGTGGCTCAGACCTGTTATACCAGCACTTTGGGAGGCCGAGGTAGGCAGATCACGAGATCAGGAGATCAAGTCCATCCGGGCCAATATGGTGAAACCCCATCTCTACTAAAATACAAAAAATTAGCTGGGTGTGATGGCATGCACCTGTGGTCCCAGCTACTTCGGAGGCTGAGGCAGGGGAATCGCTCGTACTGAGGAGGCAGAGGTTGCAGTGAGCCGAGACCATTCCACTGCACTCCAGCCTGGTGACAGAGCAAGACTCTGTCTCAAAAAAAAAAAAAAAAAAAAAAAAAAAAAGGAAGAAAAGAAATAAAGAGACTCACAATGTATACTTAGTAGATATTGCATAGGGCTCCACTATTTTCTAAATTGATATTTTCATAAGCTGTTAGTCTTTACCCCATTAAGCAGCATATGTATGATTCATCATGTTTTTAAATAGAAAATTTATCCCATGCTGTTGTACTGTCAACTAGGATATAATGTCATAAAAATATCATTAAATGGTTCATGCTAAGACCAAAAGGATACCTGTGTTGTTATGGCAGGAAAGTCCATTTTGACACAACATACCAGGTAGCCGATAAGAATTGATTTGCCTCAGGAGGTGTTGTCTAGTCAGAGAATAAACAATGAATTAGGTGTGGACCTCACATTATAGTTTTTTCTTACAACTAATCAGTCGTGAGACGTTGCCAAAGTTGCTATCTTACAAGATCTTGGTTTCCTTCTCTGTAGAATGCGTAGCTTGAAATGTTTTTATTCTAATGTCTCTTCAGTTATGGCATCTGAATCACAAACGCATCTTCAATGTCTAGAACAGTGCCTAATTGAATGTATTTAATTCAATAAAAATGTATTGAGTTTAGTGTTAAATGCAGAGAAAGACACCAAGAGCTAAAGATAAAATTGTGGGCAGAAGCAGCAAACATTGTCCTAGAACGTGTCTTGTTTAATCTAGGTGGAGTTGGTCAGATATTCCAGCCTAAATGTTCTATGAGTCCAAATAACCATAATTCATAACCATCTAAAATTTTGCCTTGGAAATTTTGTATGACAAGTGAAATATGACCATAAACCACCATTTTCTCTGTTTAAATTTTCACTTGCAGATACGTGGGAGATTGCATATTTTCTTTTGTTAAGTTATTTATAGTTCTTCCTACTCCCTCAACCCCACCAAATATCTTAATTTTCAATTGTATTACTATATCTTGTTTCACATGTACATTAAAAGGCAAAGTTCAGCTCTGTTTTATAAACGTCAGTCAAATCCCTCTACTAATTTTCTTAAACATGAAGTTTGTTGGGGTTTCTTTCACAAGAATTGGTTCTATGTTTAAAGTAATAAAAAGTGCTGTTTTCACATACAAATAAAAGAGAATATTGAGGTTAGTCCTTGGGTTTAAAATCCTAAAGATTATGAAACTTGGTCCTGACTTCCCTTTTCATGTACTGTTATCAATGACACAATGGGCTTGTTTGGTCTTAGATAAGATTTGTGAAAGGGAAAGGAAATGAACTAATATGTATTAAAGATCCGTGGGTGAAGCTGACATCCCCTGCAATTTAAACAAGAGAAGTTGCCAAACAGATCTTGCTGATAAAGATTTTCCTAAGATCACTAATTTTGAATCCCTTTATAATACATAAGGAATGATTACTATGGCGTAGCAAATAATTCCAGACTGGTTTTTATAGCTAGAGATCAGTATTGGTATCTTTACAATGCTAAGCTCAGGAATGAGTAATGGGTTATAATAGAGCCTTTTCAGTGACATTACCATGTTGCTCACTCACACATTTGATGATTCTATCCCATGTTACATAATAAGGGCAAAATATCAAATTAAAATTTTTCATAGGTACATGATATATCCAGTTCCTTCACATAATTAAAAAATTAAAATAAGATCTAAAGACCTTGTAGTTAGCTCAAGATTGCTTTTGCTGTATTGTGATTTTCTTGGGTTACAACATCTAAAACCACTGTTAATCTCGGAGAAGGGATAATCATATAATCTAGCTACCTACCGAAATACCAACAGTCTACAAAGTATCTGAGAAACATAATTACATTTAACTTTTGAGATATGTGATAGTCATCCCATTCTACAGAAAACTATGTCTGAAAGAGTTTTAAGTAATTTAGAGATGGCCTTGCAATCATTAACTTTCTCCTTCTGCCACTGAAATGCAAATCTCAAAATCTATTGTCCCTCCACCTGAAGATTCACTTTTTATTGTAGAATGTTAGTGCAGAAATAGGAATAAAAGGTAGCTCCATGCCTTTCAATTTTTAATTTTCAACTAAGGATCATTGTAATTATATATTTGATACTCTTTCAATTTTTCCTTAGGAATACTTTGTTTTTATTTTTCTTTTTTATGCAAATGTTTCTCCCACTAGATTGCAATCTTCTTGTGGGTGGAAAGTGGCTATTTCTAATCCATCATTTTATCATTCATTGCTCCGAGCATAGAAGTGCTGTCCCTCAACTTTGCCGTGGCAGTTTTTGTTGTTGTTGTTTAGAGACAGGGTCCTTCTCTGTGCACAGGCTGGAGTGCAGTGGTGCAATTATCACTCCTGGGCTCAAGTGATACCCTCTTCTCAGCCTCCCAAGTACCTAGGACTGCAGGTGTGCACCTGGATATTTTATTTTTATTTTTCTCTCTTTTTAAAAAAAATTTCAGTTTGTTCTCTCTCTGCGCAAAATCATTTTATTTATTTATTTTTTTATTTTATTTTGTAGAGAAGGGGGTCTTGCTATGTTATCAGGCTGGTCTCTAACTCCTGGCCTCACAGCATTGGAATTACAGGCATGAGCCACTGCACCTGGCCCTCATGGTGATTTCTTGATAACTGAATTCAGTGTATCCCTGGAAATGCCAATTCCACCAAAGATTGAAAATGTATTTGTGTTATTTTAATGGAATTTAGCCAGTTGTGTTTGATAATTTTCCAAGTATTTAGTTAAATTTAAGAGTCAATTTTAGTAAGCTGATGATTCTTTCTTTCTGCCTTCTCCTCCTCCACGTAGTTTCTATGATCTCACTTTTATGAGGAGGAGTTTGGTGTTCAGTTCCATATCCTGGTCTGGTCCTGGGTACCTCTCCTTGGTCTGTCTAGTGGTGCTTCCTGGGCCCCACTGAGGTGTGTTTTCCCACCGGTTCCCTCACTGACTCACTGCTGATGGGTCCATGAGTGGAGCAGCTGGTTGTCTGTTTCCTCCCACAAGTTCAATATGTAGAGCCAGGCCCACGGGCACTGCTTCCTCCCCACTCCCTGTGATGTGGCCGATCCTCAAAGATGCAGGGCGTCTTCTCTCCATTCTCCCTGGGTTACCCAGCTTATGCTCTTGGATATGGAGTCTCCTGGGTCTATAGGGCAGCAATTCCCTAGCAGCATGCTAATTCTCAATTCTTAGCCATCTTCTGTGTCTCCTATGAGGGCCATGGGACCTTTAATTGTCATATTTCATGCATGCTGGAGAGACAGAGAAGGAATGGTGAGTCAAATGTGTGCTGGGCATCTGCAGGTCCTCTGTCTGTAAACATTACATCGTCATTTTTATTCTACTGTGTGGTGGCCTCCTCAGAATTCCAAACAGAAAGTGGAGGGAAAAGTTTCCTAACAATGAATCCATAAAACTTACATGGAGTTTCTAAGCCCCTGAAACCCGCCGGCACTTTTCTATCAAGAGCAAGCCACGGGAGGTAGGGCCCACTGCAGCCCCGATGCTTTCTTGATGGTTTCTCTGAATTTTCACTCCTTTCCACCCCCAGTCTCAGGTCCAAGAAAAAGGCTTTTATGGCACTCTTGTATCGCATGAGAAAGCTGTTTTTTTTTTTTTCATACTTTTAATCTTACTAATGTTGTCGATTATAGTAAAAATTGTATGATAAGTTCACCAAACCTCTCTCTTGGTATTTCAAGTCCAGCACCGAGTGTTCTTTTCTCACAAGTTTTATAGGATGATAGACCTTCTTCAGAGTGTTTGAAAAGTCCTTTTTAAAAGTTAAAGCTGAAATGTGACTTCTTTGCTCTTGGCAGGGTTATACCTTTCCCAAGAACCAGTGAGGAGTAGCAACATTCATACTTTGTGAATATCACTCATATAGCCTTAGTTTTTCCAGAAACAAAAATTCAAGAAAAAGTTATGTTCACAAATTCTGATCTGCTTCTCTCATTAACAACATTTATTAATCAAACAGCAAATGTTTCTCAAGAGCCTATTATATACCAGGCCTTTCTAAATTCTGGGCTATGATACAGAACAAAAGACACAAAATATATAAAAAGAAACTTAAAAAAATTACACAATAAAAACATATACAAAGCCAATAAGCCCCAAAGATTTTAAGTAAGCAAGAGTTTACGTATTAAGACAAATGAATCTTCATCTTGTAGTCAATAATAATTGGAATCCTGCACTATAAAATTCCATGATTTCACAGAATTATAACCAAAAGAGATTTTACATTCATATAATATGCTAGTTGTTGCCAAGTTCATTGTACCATCTCTGCCTATCTTTATCTCCCAAGATCTTATAGGAGATTTGTGCTTAGCTCTCAATTACCAACTCCTTGCTTCATTTTCACTACAGAAATAGTGGTAGAATTTTCCTCTTTATGTAAGATGTTTCCTAGTTAGACTGGATTTTGTATAAAAGTTTCATGAGAAAATCAAAGAGTGTCATTGTCTTCATATATTTTGTGTATATTGCTAATATAGACATTTTGGGCAATTTATTTTTTTAAATCCTCTTTACCAAACTGCCAGAATGGACAATTACTTGTTAATAATAAATAACTACATTTAATCATTAAGTGCTATATTTAAGCATTAAGTGCTGCCCTAAGTCTATTGTTGTGAAGTATTTCTTAATTTATAGCATGACTCTCAAATTTTTAAGTTAACATCATACTCTGAAAATACACAGCAGGAAAATATAAAACACAATTAGATGCAGTTTCAGAAAAGGTTAGTCACTTTTTTGTCATTTCTGGACAGCGATAAAAGGTTGGGTAAAATTTAGTTTTATTTCAAAATTAGAAGAATGCGTTTTTCTATTACAAAGCTTTGTTACCAGTGGCAAATCCCACAGATCTGCAGCAAACGCCATCTGATCCTTGCCTCCTTGGAGGAAAGAATTCTGCTGAGGGGCAGAAGTAAGTTTAAGGCAGGGGAAGAAACCAAGGTCAGTTTCTGAGCAGGACTGAGAGTTTGTCAAAAAAGTTTCAGAGCAGAAACGAAAGGAAGTAAATAAAGTACACTTGGAAGAGGGCCCAGCGGGTGACTTGAGAGATCCAAGTGCCCTATTTCATCCGTGACTTGGGGTTTTACACATCAGTGTGATTCTGGAGTTTGCAGTTCTGCTCGCTTGATTCTTCCCTTGGGGTGGGCTGTCTGCATGGGCAGTGGCCTGCCAGCACTTGGGAGGGTCCACATGCTCAGTGTGTTTACTGAAGTTGTGCACATGCTCACTTTAGGTGTTTTTCTTTTTTCTTTCTTATTTTTTAAAACTGTCTTAAGAAAGGAAAACCGGGATACATGTACATAACCTGCAGGTTTGTTACATAGGTACGCGGGTCCTGTGGTGATTTGTTACATAGGTACGCGGATGCGGTGGTGCTTCGTTACATAGTTACACGGTTGCTGTGGAGGTTCGCTACATAGGTACATGGGTGCTGTGATGGTTCCTTACATAGGTACGCACGTGCCGTGGTGATTTGTTACATAGCTAGGCGGGTGCCGTGGTGCTTCATTACATAGTTACACGGGTGCCGTGGAGGTTCACTACATAGGTACGCGGGTGCTGTGGTGGTTTGTTACATAGGTACGCAGGTGCTTTGCTACATAGGTAGGCGGGTGCCGTGCTGCTTTGTTACCTAGGTACGTGGGTGTGCAGTGGTTTGTTACATAGCTACGCGGGTGCCATGGCGGTTCGTTACATAGGTACGTGGGTGCCGTGGTGGTTTGTCACATAGGTAGGCGGGTGCTTTGTTACATAGGTACGCGGGTACCGTGGAGGTTCATTACATAGGTACCCACGTGCCGTGGTGCTTCGTTACATAGGTACGCGCGTGCCGTGGTGCTTTGTTACATAGGTACGCGGGTACCGTGGCGGTTCATTACATAGGTACCCGCGTGCCGTGGTGCTTCGTTACATAGGTACGCAGGTGCCGTGGTGGTTCGTTACATAGGTACGCGGGTACCGTGGTGGTTAGTTACATAGGTACGCGCGTGCCGTGGTGCTTCGTTACATAGGTACGCGGGTGCCGTGGTGGTTCGTTACATAGGTACGCGCGTGCCGTGGTGCTTCGTTACATAGGTACGCGGGTGCCGTGGTGGTTCGTTACATAGGTACGCGCGTGCCGTGGTGCTTCGTTACATAGGTACGCGGGTGCCGTGGTGGTTCGTTACATAGGTACGCGCGTGCCGTGGTGCTTCGTTACATAGGTACGCGGGTGCCGTGGTGGTTCGTTACACAGGTACGCGGGTGCCGTGGTGGTTAGTTACATAGGTACGCGCGTGCCGTGGTTCTTCGTTACATAGGTACGCGCGTGCCGTGGTGCTTCGTTACATAGGTACGCGGGTGCCGTGGTGGTTCGTTACATAGGTACGCGCGTGCCGTGGTGCTTCGTTACATAGATACGCGGGTGCCGTGGTGGTTCGTTACGTAGGTACGCGCGTGCCGTGGTGCTTCGTTACATAGGTATGCGGGTGCCGTGGTGGTTCATTACATAGGTACGTGGGTGCCGTGGTGGTTTGCTGCACTTGCTGCACCTGTTGACCGGTCCTCTAAGTTCCCTCCCTCACCCTCCACCCCTCAACAGACCCTGGTGTGTGTTGTTCCTACTTGAGGTGTTTTTCATTTACCACTTGACCATTCCTAGAGGAAGGTCATATACCAGTTAAACTCCACTATTTTGCTTCTTGGTGCCACGTTTGAGCCCACTCACCCAACCCCTGAAATCTTATCAGAAGCTGCTGATCACCAGCGTCAGGTATTTTCTATCTCTTGGGAGACTATCTTTCCCTGGCACTGGCTGCAACTAATTATTACGTTACAGAGATAGTTTAATAACCACCTGACCATCGCTTAATGGTCACCTGACATTCCTGGGGGTTCCCTCTCCTGCCTTACTCATGTCCGCCTAACCTACCTACTCTAACAGCTTCTAAGAACGAGGAAACACGAACTAAAATAATCTTGTCGTTTTTCTTTGATTCATATTCTTTATTAAGTATCTAAATAACAATCTATGTTTCCAAGGGAGTTATACAAACCCTGAATTCTACAACAGAATAAATATTATTTCTACATGTTCCAAAGATCTTATTAAAGCACACACTCCATGTCTGAACAACTCTCTTAATAACTGAGTGTCTGTCTGATCTTTCTATTTACTGGTGAATGCAGCTTGTCTGGTATTATCCTAGTAATTCCTCTGTGTACTTTATCAACCCTTTATGGTGCAACATGAGAAGGAAAGGGGAGAGTTACTAACATTACAAAAAAAAAAAAAAAAGGCCGGGTGCGGCGGCTCATGCCTGTAATGCCAGCGCTTTGGGAGGCCTAGGTGGTTGGATCGTCTGAGGTCAGGAATTTGAGACCAGCATGATCAACATGGAGAAAGCCCTTCTCTACTAAAAATGCAAAAATTAGCTGGGTGTGGTGGCATGTTCCTGTAATCCCAGCTACTTGGGAGGCTGAGGCAGGAGAATCGCTTGAACCTGGGAGGCGGAGGTTGTGGTGAGCCGAGATCGTGCCATTGCAATCCAGCCTGGGCAACAAGAGTGAAACTCTCTCTACAAAAAACAAAGAAAGAAACAAAACCCAGAAGCAACAAGTCTCAGATTTCCCTTATAGAAATTATCTTATTATGCATAATTTTTATTAAACATGTATAGATCAATGATGTGTCATGAATCTTAATTAATATTAATTATCTTAGTAGAAAAATAGCCACTCAGTAGCTACTTATGCTGTCACTTCTAAAGGCAGATTCTTTGAAAACTGTTGTTGAATGTGGCAGAGAGACCCTGAACTGCATTAAAAAGAAAGAAAATGGCTACTCTCATTAAAAGCAAAACCTCAACGCTCACCTTTGCAAATAAAAGCACCAGATTCAAACAGTTCAAACATTACAAGAGGCCAGTGTACATCTTCCTTCAGCTGAGTTAAGTTTCATGAGTCAGGACAACAGTTTTACTTAGGAAGTCTTTTCTTAACATTGGCTCTAGAGAAGGTGTCATTTGCATAAATGTTCTTCCTGGCGTATATTAAAATTGTCCCTAAAGACAATTTGCTGCCCTGCAGATAGAAAACATTGAAAGCTGTTGTTTTTCTCCATAATCATGTGATTTAACAGGTTTAATTCTTTAGCTATAAATAGCTTTATGCTTCTTAAAATAAGGACATACATACGTCATATATGTAAAATTGTTGACACAAATTATTTCTGAATGTTAATGGCGAGCGTGTATTTCTGATTCTTGCCACCTCCATCATTTTCTAAAATTGCAATTGGAAGCAACTCCCTTATTGTTCATTTTTTGTGTGGCTAAATCTGAGTGAAATTCAATTATCACAAAAATAGTTTGTTTTGATTTTGTGTGTCCTGGTACTTTTGAAATTTGGAGTGTGGCCCTATCACTCCCAAGCCATTGTGTTGTCTAAATCGATTGTCTTGGTAGGCTCACACAATGGCGAAATGTTTTCATGAATGCGTATGAGCCACATGCCCCAGCTGAGCACTCAGAAACAGGGGAACAGAATTAAAGTTAGGTTATTGCTCATCTCTTGCCAAACTTTCTCTCCTCCATTCTGTATGGTTTCCTTTGAGATTCAGTGACAGAGAGGAGATGTATCACCTGTTGCCAGAGAGAACAGGCCCCTCACCACCTTCCTGAGCTTACATGATGTTTAAGAACATGTGTTATGGAAGAAACATTAAGAAGTCAAATTTCACAATAATTTTAACAGATATTTCTCTGTTACACTCACACACATTATTTTTAACTAGTAATTGACAGGGGTTTATTATGTGAATAATTCATTTAGGTTTGGCTGCTGCATTTCTGATATTGCCACTGGCTGTTTGTGTGTAGTTTATTCCGTAAATTGTGTAGTAGTACAAGCCTTTGAAAGGAATGGGCTGTGCTATCTATACATGTTCAAATCAAAATATTTGTACTTAGGAATTTAACTTTGCAAAATCGACCTTGCTAAGTCCTTCTCAAACAAGTTTCTTGTTTTGTTTTTGTTTTTTCTTGAATATATTTCATTCATCTCAGAGCTGGGGAAAATGACCTCTGAAAATTTAGAAGACTGGATGTCACTGACTACCAAATGATGATCACTTTTGAATGAACAAAAATCCTTCAGAACTAATGTGTGGATTACAATGTTATTGGTTGAAATAATTTTTATGGTGTTGAAGAAAGATTAACCAATTCAGGGTTGGTATGTGATCTGTGCCACAATTTCCGTGGAAAATAAGTTAGCTCTCTCTTTCTACAAAGACATGATTGTACATCAGTGGCACAAATGAGAAAGTGCTAATAACATTTTGGCGCTGACTACCAAGTGTGCATCTCTTGTCTTACTTAGTTTTGCTTGTTACCTACAGCTATAGAACTCTGAAATTTGGCAAATTGATGGAAATAAACTCAAAGTACCTTATACTGTTTCCTAGAACATTTACAAAGAATACTAAACATCTTATTGACAATGCAACATTTCTTCCAAATGATCAGGAAGAACACAAAATTATTTGTTCAACAAGTATTTTTTGATAGCCTATGCTATGGGCAATGGATACAAAAATAAAAATAAGACATGATCCCTGCCTGCAGAAGGCTTCAAGCCCTGTCATGGAGATAGACACAACACGAGATAATAAAATAGGCTAAGGACTTGTTAGAAGGATGCACTCATGAGAGCAGAGAAGAGAAGAGAATCCAACTCAGGACAAGGAATGGAGGCTGCAGGGAAATTTTCTGAAGGTGATGCCGGAGCAAAGTCCTTACAGAAAGGAAGAGTAGGTGTTGTGTAGATAAAAATCAGGGGGGTTAGCCTTTTAATAACGGGACAGCTTACACAAAGTCCTGTGGTAGGGCACTCCACAGTCTATGCAGGAAATGTAAGTGGGAAAGTCCTTTACAGATGGAGTCAGGAGCAGCCACCAGGTCACTGAGGTCCTGTGGCATCCTGCTAAGGCAGTGGCTCTTAAACAAAAAAAAAAGTTTGGTTTTATTTTTATTTAACTTTGATAGTGACAAGGTTAGATGTGTATTTCAGGTAGGTTTCTAGTGGTTAGGTGGGAAGCAAGACTGCAGCTCTTTCTGTAGGTACTGTTCTGGAGAACCCCAAACAAAGATGAAGGCCTGAAATTCGGCACTACCTGAGGGCCAGCTATGTTCAACCCAGAGGCTCTATCTTCCCTTTTCTTTGTCACCACGTGTACAGTAAAGGAACAGGCAACATGGTGCCAGTAGATTTCTGCGTGAAAAATATTAGAATGGGGGTGGCCAGATTTTTGCATGCTATGCAAATGGCACACCTGGGCTGACCGATATCTCATGCCCTGTGTAAATTAAACACCACCTCCTCAAGCTCATCTATAAAACCTCCTGTACTTCATCGTGGAAGCAGCAACTCATTTTCTCTGGGACCCCTCTCTGTACAGAGAGCTCTTCTCTTTCTTTCACCTATTAAACTTCTGCTCCTAACCTCACTCTGGTGGTCTGAGTCACAGTTTTCCGTGGCTATGAGGGAATGAATCTCAGGTATTACCCTAGGCAATGAAGACATTTCAATATGCCTCATTCTCTTTTATCATTTTATTTGTTTTAACCTCTTCTGTTCTCATGAAAACACAATCCTCATAGAAGTCTTCATGAGATGAACAGTTTTCCCAACACCATTTATTGAAGAGGTTGTCCTTTCAAAGTTGTATGTTCTTGGCACATTTGTCAAAACTCAATTGCTTATAAATGCATGGGTTTATTTCTGGGCTTTCTGTCCTGTTCCTTTGGTCAATATGTTGTTATGTGAGTACCATGCTGTTTTGATTATAAGTGCTTTGTAATATATCTTGAAGTCAGATAGTCTGACGCTTCTTTTTTTTTTTTTTTGACAGGAGGTAGAATTTGTGGGTGAGTGTTAAGAGGGGGCAGCACAGTGGAAGCCCTTATGAATACAGGGCCCACCACTTGTCCAGAGGGCCATGACTGGGGATGTACTTGACCCCATAGTCATCTGGGATGAGCCACTCCTCAACCACCATGTCTTCAAATTCATCCACGTTGAACTTGGTGAAGCCCCACTTCTTCGAGACATGGATCTTCTGGTAGCCAGGGAACTTGAACTTGGCCCTGCGTAAGGCCTCAATTACATGCTCCTTGTTCTGCAGCTTGGTGCAAATGGCCATGATAACTTGGCCAATGTGAACCCTGTCCACAGTGCCCTGGGCCTTTTCCAAGGCACCTCACATGTCTGTTTGGAGCCTGCATTGGGGTAGTGCAAGTTCAGAGGCAAGAACATCCATCTGAAAGCCTGTCTCCAAGGTCCCTTAGAGCAACCCATACAAGAAATGGGCAGCATATACTACAGGGAAGCGGCTGTTTGCAGCCATTGCACATTGGACCCCTATGAGGAAAGGAACTCAGGTGGCTTAACTGGCTGCAGCAGCTTTGTTCTTTTTACTTAAGATTGTGGCTATTTGGGGTCTTTTGTGGTCTCATGCAAATTTAAGAATTTTTTTTTCATTTCTGTGAAAAATAACATTAGAATTTAAATAGTGGCTGCATTGAATCTGTAGATCACTTTGGATAGTATGGACATTTTAACAATGTTAATTCTATTAAGCAATAAGCACAGCATACCTTTCCATTTATTTGTGTGATTTTTAAAAAAATTTTCATGAGTTTTACAGTTTTCTGTATACAAGTCTTTTACCACTTTAAATTTATACCTAAGTATTTAATTTGTTGTTGCTGTTGTAAATAGGATTCTTTTCTTTATACCTTTTCCAGATAGCTTTTTATTAGTGTATAAAAATGCTACCAATTCTGTGTGTTGATTTTGTATCCTGTGACTTTACTGGATTTATTTATCAATTCTATTAGCTTTTAGTGGAGTCGTTACAGTTTTCTCTGTATAAGATCATATTGTCAGCCAACAGACAATTTCACTTTTTCCCTTCCTATTAGGGTGACTTTTATTTATTTCTCTTGTCTAATTGCTCCAGCTCAGACTTCCACAGCTCTGTAGAAAAGTACTGAAAGTGGGCATCCTTGTCTTCTCCCTGAACCCAGAGAAAAGCTGTCAACATGTCACCATTGAGTATGATGTTAGCTACCGCTTTGTCATTTATGGCTTTTATTGTGTTGAGTTAAAATCCCTCTATACTTATTCTGTTGAGAGTTTTTATCATGAAAGGGTGTTAAATTTTGTCAAATGCTTTTTCTTTTTCCTACTTCTATCACAGTGATAGATCTCAAACTCTGGCTTCTGGCTTAGTGTTTATAGGTAAGTAGGCAGTAAAGATAATTATCATAGTATTTAAAGTCAAGAAAGAAATAATTTTGACTGAATATCAAGATATAGTGTGTGTTGGTGTGTGTGCATGCATGTGTTATGGGTGTTTGTTTGTTGAGTTAGCTGCAAAAATGCTCCATCTGTCCACTTTTAAATAGCAATCTGTCAGATTGCATATTCCAAAGAGGGACACAGCAACAGCTCTTATCCTGCATGCTATTTTGCAATGTGATATTGCCACTCTGCCTTCTGATTCTGGGCAAATCCTGTGATCAATGGAAATACAGTGGAAGTGACGCTGTCCAAATCCAGGAGTAGTCCTTTAGAGAAAATGGAGGCTTCTTCATGTTCCTGCCTCACATACACACTTCTTCTGTTGTTTTCTCTTCAGTTCAGCAATGGTGCTATGAGAAGCTCATACATCAAAGAAAAGACATGTGTAAGCACTTGGATCATAGCCCCAGATGACACTCAGTCGATAGAAAACATTGACTGGCATCCATGTTGGTGAAACAACTTAGACATGCAGCCTTTCCCAGATGAGATGGGTCCAACCACTTCTGAATGCAAACGCACGAGCAACCTTAAGCAAGGACTGCCTAGCTCATTCCCATCTACCCACTCAACTAGGAGAGATGACAAATCATCGTCTTAAGTCACCAAGTTTTGGCATCATTTGTTGAACAACAATAAACCAGAACACCCACTGAAAAGGCCATCTGACATTTTTGGAACATTTTCCCTAAATTTGGATCAATCTCCACATTCTAAAAGTCTACATTTTCAACGTAGACTCCAGAAATATACATTTCTCAGTTTGCTTGTGGTTAATGTACAGGCTTGTGAAAGGTTCTTATGCGCCTCCAGACCCCACACAGAGGTGAGCCACTTTAGGACAAAGGCTCTGTGTGGAGAATCCACTCTGTTCTAAGAGTGGCACCTGGGGACATGAGGAAGATTTCAGGGAAGGTTCCTAATGTAGTTTGGTTGTGGGTTGACAATGGCGTGCAAGTTAAACCACCTCATTGGGATGCAGCAGAAGGCCAAGTTGGGGTATGGCTTGCAGCATTTTCCCTGCAATCTTATCTTTGAATATATTTCTTTGGCCATTCTAATAATTCTGTGATTAACTCAATAACCTTTACTTAACATATCATCTACTTAAATGATATAGAGTGAATTCCACATTTTTCGGAGGTTAGGAAACCTATAGAGAACATGATGCATGCATGACCCCCAATTTAGGCACCTGAAGTGAGAAAAGGCATGGCAAGACTTTTTCTCGTCACCTACAGCACAGTCAACAGAAATATGAGGAAAGAGACCTGCAGATTAAGTACAATATGAGGAATCAAGTTAATAAAATTGAATTGTCTTAGAGATTTTAATGAGGAGATTTTAGCTGTTCTTGTTGCACACAAGGAAAGAAACCATGTGAGATGCTACATATGTTAATCTGCTTCACTATAGTCATCATTTAACTTTTGACGATATACCATGACATTATGTTCTAAACATCAAGCATACACAATAAAGTTTATTTATTTATTTTTTTTTTAAATAGGAAGATACAGCTTGAGGAGCCAGGTGCAGTGGCTCACTCCTGTAACCTCAACGTTTTGGGAGGCTGAGGTGCGTGGATCACTTGAGCCCAGGAGTTCGAGACCAGTCTGGGCAACATAGTGTGACCCCAACCTTTATAAAAAATAAAAAAAATTAGCTGACCATGGCGCATGCCTGTAGTTCCAGATACTCAGGAGGCTGAAGTGGGAGCATTGCCTGGGAGGTGGATGCTGCAATGAGCTATGATCACACCACTGCACTCCAGCCTAGGGGACAGAGAGAGACCTTGTCTCCAAATACACAAAAAAATACAGCTCATTACCATGCTTATGCAACACCTGGACTTCTTCAGTTGGTTCCCAAAATATGCTGTCAAATGGCTGGCTCAGCGCAGCTCACCACAGCATTCCAAGAGCTGCTCAGTGCATGCTTCCTGGACCAGTAGCATTAGAAACAAATTCACCTTGAACTTTGTTAAGAATGCAGATTCTCAAGTCTCAGTCTGGACTCTCTGACACTCTTGAACTGCGTTTCAACAACTTTTTTTTTTTTTTTTTAATAAGCCCACCAGGTAATGTCGATGCACGTGTAAGTGAAAGAACCCCATTTTGCAAGGACTTCCTGTTGACCTCCTAAAAGCGTGTGTTGATTCTGGTATGGTTCAGTTCCTCTAAACGCATATTGAATGAAGTGCAGTGGCATTTCTTCATCTGGATTCTAATAAACTCAGTCACCACATTTCCTCCGAGATCAGTGACTGTATTTCAGCAACCTAATTTGCAGATTTCTAATGCCCTATCAGATAAATTAACTACATTAAGTGTGCTCTCAGGAATTCTTCACTTCCTTTGGGCTTCTCTTTTTTTTGTAACGGTGACTACTGTAAGTTTCAAAGGATGTTGGCTCAACATATATCTTGGATGCTGCTTTTCTATTTTTTATTACTTTTATTTTTTATTTTTTGAGACGTAGTTTTGTTCTAGTTGCCCAGGCTGGAGTACAATGGCGCCATCTCTGCTCGCCGCCTCCTGGGTTTAAGCGATTCTCCTGCCTCAGCATCCCGAGTAGCTGGGATTACAGGGATGCGCCACAACACCCAGCTAATTGTGTATTTTTAGTACAGACGGGTTTTCTCCACGTTGGTCACTCTGGTCTTGAACTCCCGACCTCAGGTGATCTGCCCTCCTCAGCCTCCCAAAGTGCTGGGATTACAGACATGAGCCACTGCGCCAGGCCCGGATGCTATTTTTTAATCTTGGTGAATTTTTTAGCTTTCCTTTTATGCTTGATAATCCATTCATGTTTCTGTATAATAGCAGAGCCTGCTTATTCATGTTACAACTAATCACAATTTTTATTCTGTAAGATTTCGTTTTCATCATGGACGGCAGATAAAACAAATTCACATGCTCTTCCTGCACAAAGATGTATCATCTTTAAACGTTTCCTGCCTTTCCAGTTAACATTTCATACTCTCTGCTCCTCCACCCTCAAACTATGCTGACGTCCCAAGGTTCAACCATCTCATGAGTACATGAGGTCCGGTGATGTTCACATTGAACTGTGCCAAAAATTCTTTGTAAACTAAAGAGTTTTATATAAGATGCAGAGCCATCAATAAGATTCAAGGGTTTAATGCTGGCAAAAATCCCGTTCTGATTTGAAAAAGGTATTCAGTATGATATATTTAGACATACATTAAGCCCTCTGCTCCAAAGCACAGCAATTTAAAAAATCAGAATTCAAAGGAATCTCTAATAACAAAGATGTCAGGCACTGTGGCTGATGGTGGGTGAGGTCATTTTGATCTCATATATCTATTACCCCCCAAAAAGCAACCGTTTGCCTTAGTAAAGTAACTGGTGTCCCTAATGTTATTAGTAAGTTATAGTAGATGAACATGCCCATTCACATCAGGCAGACTTGGCTTTAAAATCTGGCTCTGTTACTCCTTGCTCCTGTGTGATTTGAGGAGTACATAGCTACTTTTCTGTACACAGGTTTTGTTCTGTTTAAACTGAGGACTCCTTATTTAAAAACACTATCCAATAGTCTTCAAAGCCTGACAAATACAATGCAGCAAACTTTCCTCCTCCCTGCTTCTGTAGGAAATTGCACAGCATCTCTGTTCCAGGGGATACCTGGGTTCAGCCTTTCCTCAAGAAGGTGACCATCAAAATGTATTCCACCCGTGTCTGCTTACACCAACAATCAATGTCGTCAATGACATCAGACAGCTAGTCCCAGACAGTTTCTGCTCTCTGAATCCTCTTACTTGTTGTGTCTATTATTCTTTCCTGTCTTCTGATTAATAACAGCATTATTTATTCCTTAGTATGCTTTTAGTTGCAAGACACAAACGCCCTACTCAAAGAAACTTAAGAAAAAAAAATGTAAGGGCCTGAAGATTAAAGCCTTTCTTCTCTCTCTTTGTCTTCTTTCTTTGGTGTGGACTTAGTATGGTGTGTTTTTCTCCATATTGCCCTGAGCAGCCCCCTATGTACATTGTATCAGCTAGGAACTTGAGCAGAAAGGATCATCTTTCTTTCTTTAATGTTTTAAAATTTTTAACTTGTATGAATACATAGTAGGTGTATATATTTATGAGGTACATGAGATATTTGGATACAGGTATACAATTTGTAATAATCACATCAGGTTAAAGGGGGCATCCATCACTTCAAGCATTTAGCATTTTTTGAGTTATGAATGTTCCAATTATACCCTTTTAGTCATTTAAAAATGTACAATAAGTTATTGTTTAGTCACTGTAGTCACCTGTTATGCATTCAAACACGAGAACTTATTTATTCTGTCTAACTCTGATTGTACCCATTAGCCGTCCCCTTCATAGTTCAAGTGAAGATATAGGTGTGTCTCTTGGTTCAAGATGCCCACATAACCTATGTATGGTCAGCCTCTGTGCCCAGCTTCTGAGACAGACGCTCCCTGGGAGACCTGGAGGGATGTGATCAAACACATGCAAACTACAGGGGCTGAAAGTGAGAAAAGGTGGTTTTCAGAGGAAAATCTTCAGTGTTAACAGACAAAGAGGGAACGATGGATGAACAGGCAAAACCAACAGCTGTCCGGTGTAGTGTGACTTGTAACTTTTACCCGGGCTGATAAATAAATAATGGCTGGAGTCATTATGAGTGACAGAATTCTTGTTCTGCAGACACTATAAATCTGCATAAAATAAGCAATTCTCTGCTGAGATGATAGAAGAATCTATCTTCCCTCACTTCGCCAACACAGTGAGAATAGTGACTTCTGAATTCTTGATTTTTCTGGCTTCATCATGAAGAGTATTTACCGAAACCATCAATGAAGATGTTCAAACACAGTTGGTAAATGTGGGATAGGGAAATCAACGTAGGATGGTCCCCTTCGCCCCAGATATGATCAGTGTTTCTGCTGCGAGAAGTGTCATCTTCATTAACCTTTTAAAATAGGTTCTTCTTAATATTATGGATGACTGACATTTTAATGTTTTTTATTATTTAACTCACAAAAAAATGTGAATATAATCTCTAGAGGAGAGGGAATTGGCCAAATATTATACTAAGAGATGTAGCTAATTTATTCTGTAAGTTGGCCATGAATAATATATGGGAATAAATGACATAACTCAAATAGAAGACTTTCTTTTGGTCCGGGAAAACAGAAGGAACTTGAGTATTAATCTTCTATCTGCTGCGTCATGAACTATTTTTGATACATGAGAACAATGGAAAAATTGAGAGTTTTCTTGAGTTTACCCCCAGATCTTTTAAAAAAGACAAGTAAACTACAAAAAGCTATTTAAGAAAATATTTGTTGTCTCATTGCCAGATTAACAATTAAATGTTCCTATCTATTCATAACGTCAAAGAGAAGATGAATGGAAGCAATAGTGTTGTTGGCGGCAGCAGAATCTGTATCAACTGTGTATTAGGAGAGTAGCTGCATTTCACCAATACTCCAGCCATCCCACTTTTTTTTTTTTTTTTTTTTTTTTTGCGATGGAGTCTCACTCTGTCACTCAGGCTGGAGTACAGTGGTGCTATCTCAGCTCATGGCAACCTGCAGCTCCCCAATTCAAGAGCTTCTCCTGTCTCAACCTTTCGAGTAGGTGGGATTACAGGGGCACACCACCACACCCAGATAATTTTTATATTTTAGTAGAGACGGGGTTTCACCATGTTGGCCAGGCTGGTCTCGAAATCCTGACCTCAAGGGATCTGCCCACCTCTGCCTCCCAAAGCCCTGGGATTACAGGCCTGAGCCGCTGTTCCCAGTTCCATGCCCCATTCTTACCCTTACTCTGTGCATGCCACTGCACTTTTGGCTTCTCACAGGCCTAAGAGTCTGCTTGATTATGGTCAAGGGAGAGGGATAGGCTCTAGGAGATTAAACTGTGTGACCAGATGGCAGTAGTTTTGTCAGCAAACACAGATAAATGTTATCTAGAAAGACTGTCTTGTCTTCCCTACACACCCTAACAAAAGTCATTTTTAACTATGCTTTGTATACAAGGGTCCCTGACATGAAAAATCCAGGTTACTTAACAATAGGTTACCAAGCTTCACTTGGCTTGATCACGCCAAGGGGCAAATGTAAAAATGTGTTACAGTGATGAGGTGCTTATGTTTCATCTCCTCAGACAGCTTCTTGGACAGGCATCAAGGATGATCTCAAGCCACCCAGGACCATCAGAGAATAATTTTAATCCAGCATTTTGCAGGAATATACATTCTATTGTATTTATTTTTATTTATTTATTTTTTGAGACAGGGTCTCACTCTGTGCCCAGGCTGCAGTGGGGTGGTGAGATGTCAGTTCACTGCAACCTCTGCCTCCTGGGTTCAAGTGATTCCTCTGCCTCCACCTCCCAAGTAGCTGGGACTACAGGTGACCGTCACCATGACCAGCTAATTTTTGTATTTTTAGTATAGACGGGGATTCACCATGTTGGCCAGGCTGGTCTGGAACTCCTGACCTCAAGCAATCCACCCATCTGGGCCTGCCAGGGAATATACATTTTAAAAGATTAATGTAAAGATTAAAGGTGGAGAAGAAGACAGTATTGTGTTCTGTCTTCTTAAATTAAAATAGAAAGGTTGACTTTGGCCATTCCTTCGGCTCAGGAAGTCCATTATTCAGGAAAATCAAATGGCATAATGGCAGGGTTCTTTGGTAAAAGGAAAAGTGAAAGTAATGTTCATCTCTAGTCTACTCTAGGCTTTATAGGAAGATAATATTGACATGTTGCCGTCCAGGTATATGCAGCAAGGTGGGGCCAATGAAAGGGATTTAAGGCAGAACTTCAAGCTGGGTAAAAAGAAATTTCAGTGCCTAATAGCTTATATAACTTTACACACACACACACACACACACACACACACACACACACGTACGAGGATCTGTCAGAGAGCAATGTGCGTTCTGTACAGGGAAGGAAATTTCAGCCTGCAGCTTCAATATTAATAGTTACAAACAACTCACGTGATACTAGCACACAATATTCACAATGTGCTTCAAGTTTCCATTAAGAAAACAAGTGAAAATATGGGCTTTCCTGCTTTTATAGATGTGTCGCAGAATGAATCAACAGAGAACAGTAGCTTGAGATCACATGAAGATATTAGGTTGGAGAATGGGAATATTTCTGATATTAAAAGAGACCTTGCCAAAATTCTAAGAGACTCAGTTTTCAGTGAAAAAAAAAAAAAGCATGTGATAATAAATCTAATTGCACCCTAACGGTATTACTTGGTTATTTATAAGTAACTATAGAAAGTGAGTTATTGTATATAAATAATAAAATTAACCTTTCTGTATATTTGTATGTTGTCATATATATAATTTAAAAATACAATTCATAAAAAGAATCTGTACACTAGGAAGAATGTAAGCCATGATGTCCACTTTAAAGTTGTAAAAACATACATTTAAATATAATAAATTTAACCTATTTATAAATTAAATATAAACACAATTAAACATTTTTTTCATGGAAATACAGTTAAATAGTAATGATTTACTTCAGTCAAGGTCTTCAGAATTTTAAAACAGTTTAGAATTTTGGTGAAAATTTAGATAATTTTTCATTACATTTATAATATATAAAAAATATTAAGAGGGAAAAGGCACGGCAGTGAGGCTGGCTTCAGATCAGTGAAGGCAGGTAAGACAAAGAAGGTCTTCATCCGGCCACACCCACAAGGCAGAGCCTCAGGCATGGAGGTGCATGCATGTGACTCAGTTTTGAAGATTTTATTATAGAAATCGAAAGTGGATATCTGTAGTGTGTGTGCAAACAACATAAAACAAACAACAGTTGTAGGTCTTACAATATCTGACTTCAAGATTTCCTATAAGCTACAGTAACCAGGATAGTGTGCTGTTGGCAGAAGAAATAATAAATAGACCAGTGGAATGTGATAAAGAGCCCGAAATTGACTCACAAGTGTAATTTTTGAGAATAGTTTCAAAACAATCATACAGGAAAAGGAAATTCTTTTTAATAAATAATGCTGGAGTACCTAAACAGCCACAAGAAAGGAAGCAAACAAGGAAGGAAAGAAGAAAGTAAGGAAGGAAGGAGGGAAGGAAAGGAAAGGAAAGGGGAGGGGAGGGGAGGGAAGGAAAGGAAAGGAAAGGAAAGAGGAGGAGAGGGAAGGGAAGGGGAGGGGAGGGAAGGAAAGCAAAGGAAAGGAAAGGGGAGGGGAGGGGAGGGGAGGGAAAGGAAGGGAAGGGAAGGGAAGGGAAGGGAAGGGAAGGGAAGGGAAGGGAAGGGAAGGGAAGATGGAAGGAATGAGAAAAAGAAGGAAAGAAACTCTAACACAACCTACACATCCTAGCATCTTACAGCACTATAATAGGACTATAGCAAACCATATTATATTCTATAATTTCTGGTAGCTAGGAGGAGGATAATGAATGTTCTCAACACAAATAAATGACAAATGTTTGAGATGATGGACATGATAATTACCTAGATCAGATCACTATACATTTTATGTATGGAGGCTTCATGGGCTCCATGAATATCCACAAATAGTATTCGAGAATTTAAAAAATAAATAAAAATACAATTGCATAAAACAATGAAAAATTAACTCACGGTGGATCAAAGTCTACTGTAAAAGATAAAATTATAAAGCTTAGACATATTTATGATTTGAGGGAAGGCCAAGTTTTCTTTGAAAAATCCCAGTAACCAGCAGAAATTTTAAAAAGATACAAAATTTTAAAATAACTTTATACATATTAAAGAAAACCAGAAAATTTCTGTTCCTTGAAAGGCACTCTTTAGATAATGAATAGGCAAGTCACAGACTTGGAGAATATAATTGCAAAACAGGCATTTAACAAATAACTGGTACCGCATATATATATATATATACACACACACACACAAACCATATATATATGTACACCATATATATATGCACACCATGTACATATATATCACATATATGTGTATATATGTATATATATACCATATACATATATATACACCGTATACCTATACATACATATATGTCTCAAATACATGTGCTGTGAAAGTTTCACAAATGAAGAAACTAAAATTGAAATTGAATACCACCTTAAGACTTCATGGTTGGAAAGTGTCAAAGGCAAGGAATGAACGTGAGTCTTTTTTGTTTCTTCAGAGCTCTTTATATCAGGCCTGAGGCATGGAGGTAGATGCATGTAACTTATTTCTGAGGTGATGCCCAGAAGAAAGCATAAGAGAACAGGGAGGAAAAGATCTATTAGAAGCAATATAAATATGTACTAACAATATATATATAAACTTTCACAACACAAAATTTTAAAAACACCAACAAAAGGAATGTGTGAAACAGCTGAAATGATGCTTTCCAAATAGAAGCTGCATGACTGTCGAGTGAACACATGAAAAAGTGCTCCAATCACCAGTAATCAGTGAAATGCATATTAAACCCACAATTAAATATGCACCGTTACTATACCCAGAGGAATAAAGATTTGTAACAGAAAAAGTTTACAAGGATGTGGAGCAAAGGGAACACGAGGACACTGTTGGTGGGAGTGTACCATGGCACATGACTTTGAAAAAGGCCTGGCAATTTTTAATAAATGAAACATACAACTAACCTACCACCTAGAAATGTAACTTAGGTATTTACACAAGAAAAAGAAACTATACAATTACATACACACATACACACACACAACTTGTTCAGAAATGTCTGCAGAAACTGTATCCATAAGATCAAAACTTGGAAATTGCCAAAGTCATTGCCAACATGGGAGGAAGCACTCTGGTTATATTTATCCAATTTAGCATAAAAAAGGGATACATTGCCGATATCCGCAAGAACATTCCTGGATTGCAGTTGCTGAAGCTTGGTTTCATTTTTCATGATAATTTTTGACAGCGTGGATTTAAAATTTACAAATCTGTCAGTCTTACTTTTGGAAGTTCCTCCACATTCCTTCTGTAGATAATATTCCTTTAATTGCTTCCAGTCCTATAGCTTCATTTTCACTTTAAAAAACGCATCTGTAATATGGCGAATGTTTTAGGGAAAGGGTCTAATTTCACATTTTTTTCAAATAGTTAATTATTTTTCTCAGCATCATTATGAAGTAGCTTTTTTCCCACGTATTTGTAATGTGTTTCTATCATTTACAAAATTCCCATCCACTAAGTTTGTTGTTGGTCTGTCTTGCTCTATCCACTATCGTTTTAACTGTGGTCGTTGTAGTGTTTAGCCAACATCAGATGCACCATCTTCCATTTGTGTCAACACTGTACTCAACTTCGTGTACTTTCAGATTAATCAACAGCTACAATCATTGTATATACATATTTTTTAGTAACTGTATGTTCCTGTTACCACCTTTTAAAAGATGTCAGTTTTGTTAAAACTGCTGACAAAGAAAAGAAGACTAAAATACAGCAGCTTGATTCCAGGGAGGTTTTTAACTTACTGAAACTCAGTACTGTAGACTTGAACTTATAGCTCTTTAATCATCCAGAAGTTTAGTGGAATATAATGTAAACATTTATAAAGGAGAGAAAATTTTACGGTTGGAGAGGAGGATGCAGAGATTCTAATTTTCTAATGCCTTTGCAGAGAAAAAAAAGTTAGTTACTTTACTTTTCAGAGCTAAAAGGTATCTTAGAGTCATCTAGTTTGAAATCTTCATTTTCCTGCTAGGGGAATGGAGGTACAGGTGTGAAGTCATTTGTACAACGTCACGCCTCTTCCACGTGGCTGAGTCGGGGTGAGGGCACATGCCTTCTCACTCTCATATCAGTCTCCTTTCTACCCACCAGGCTGCTTCCAAGAAATCCATCTATTGTAATATGGTTTTGTATAGGAATCTTACATGCAAGGGCTGGGCAATTTTGATATCCTTTTAGGAGAAAGGTAAGAGAAGAAAGTCTAAGCCACCAAGGAGAGCAATTAGAATGCAAACAGGTTTGATCTGTCCAAAGAAGGCACTTTAAAGGAAGCGTGCGCTCATTAACCACATCATTTGCTAACCGGGCCGCCAGAGCCCCAGTCCCCACTGTGCCAGCCCCAAGCTCACTGCCAACCACAGCCCGTCTGATGATGAAAGCAGCTGAGCCCTGGCAACCCCGCGGCGGTCTCATTGGGGAAGATCTGGAGAGGGAAGAAAGACGCAGACACCCCATCATCGTAAAATACAGTTTGAATAATTTTGAGAAACAATTGTTCAGGAGGCGAACTTCTAAATCTCCAGGGCTGTGCCACAGAGGGGAACTTCTTTATCAAAGAAAAGTGCACGCGGAGGGGGTGGGAAATGGCAAACTCGGGGGAAAATGACAGCACTTTTTGAGATGAGGCTTCGAGAAAATCATTTCCACGAGGAGAGCTTTGCCACACAGGAAGACTCGCAGTTTCAAACTGCAAGATTTAACATGCAGTTTAAAATCTTCCGAATGTGCTTCAGGAGTTTGCAATGCTACCTGCAGAAGCACTGTTGCTTTTGGGGCAGAAAATAGTTTTCCTCCTGTCATTGTAAATAAAAACACTTTAGCTTAGCTACTAAAATCACAAATATTTTCATATACTATACATATATAATTTTACTTATATATATTATTTTTATAACCATAGCAAAAATTATGCGCTATATCAGCAATAAAACAGGCAACACATTTCTTAGCTTGTTTTTCTTATACTACGTAAAATTGTTTTTGCTTTTACATTATAACTTAATATCCACTCTGTACAGAAATTATTGTAGTCTTAATTTTACAGATGACAGAACTGAGGCCCATCAGATCTTGTTAGTCTTGGGAACATCATCCCTCCATTTGTCTTTGATTTGTTTGATCTGTTCAGTATACAATGAATCTTTTAAAAAGTCAATATCTTCACGGCTGCAGGACTAGAAATAACAATACGTCCAGCTTAAGAACTCATGCAGCTGTATGGATTTAAGGCATCCTTACTAATGACAGCCTAGTAGAGAGGAGGAGAACATTATGGGGAAAGTAACTCCCAATCTTATGTTCTCCTCAGTGTTTGGTCCCGACTTCAGGCTGACTCTGAATAATTTCTTTAATGGGTAGAAAACGAAGCAGAAATAGAAACTGAATTCACAATTCCAGGATTCCTTTACCCACTCTGTACTAAACTCCACCTAATGCCCAGAGATTCTAGATTATTGCAGGTTTTATACTAGATTATCTTCAGGTTGGAAGGCTTATAAAAATCCAAGTCCTGTAGATTGCTAAGTTTTATACTGTAGGTGAAAGAAAATGCAAAGTATGGAAGGGTTACAGTCAATATAAGACTCTAGAATTATGTAATGAGATAAATATTATATACATAATTCTATATACATATAATTGTGTATATACACACAAATACATGGATATGGTGTGTATGTGTGTGTATCTGAGTGTCATACACATATATCATGACACTCAGATCTTATAAGCATTCATCCACAGAAATGAACCCTTGGGTCCTGTTAATGACCTTTGTCTGATCCTGACAGTCACCAACCTTGCTGCTTCCCAGGGCCTGAACGCCTGCAAAACCACTCCAGTTCCATCAAAGAGAGGATACCCGTTCTTCTCACTAACTCACCCATGGTTCTAGGGTCCTAGGTTAATTGGTCAGCATCTAGAGGAACACAGTGCTCGTGATCACGCACATAAACTCCTAGGAATGTATTTCAGCCTCATTTATGGACTAAACAGATCTTTTTTATTTGACTCTGCATGATTATCTTGTGATTACTGGCATAAGGATGACTAAATGATAATCTCATAGAAATTAAAAAGAAATCAATAAACATGGGATAGAAGTTCCCTTTATTGCTTGCTTGCTTCTTTTTTTTTTTTTTTTTTTTTTTTGTCGCCCAGGCTGGAGTGCAGTGGCACAATCTCGGCTTACTGCAAGGCTACTCCCTTCCTTCTTTCTTTCTTTCCTTCTTTCTTTCTTCTTGTTCTCCTTTCTCTCTTTCTCTCTCCCTCCTTCCTTCCTTCCTTCGTCTTGTCTTTCTGTCTTTCTGTCTCTGTCTCTCCCTCTCTCTCTGTCTCTCTCTTTTTTTTTTTTTTTTTTAAGAAAAGATCTCGCAGTGTTGCCCAGGCTGGAATACAGTGGCTTTTCAGAGTCAGTGTCCTACTAATCGTCACCTCAGGAATTTGAGCTTTCTCAGTTTCCAATCTGGGCCAGTTCACATCTCCTCAGGCAACCCGGTGGTCCCCTGCTCCCAGGAAGTCACCATATTAATATTGAACTTAGTGCAGACACCCAATCAGCATAATGCTCTACAGCCCAGAACTCCTGGGCTCAAGTGATCCTGCTGCTTCAGCCTCCAGAGTAGCTGGGACTACAGGTGCATGCCTCCATGACTGGCACCATCAAGAGTTTCTTTTTTAATCCTAAAATATTCTTACAATGAACAACTAATATAGAAGTGATATGTATTAACACGATTTGTTCATATGACATGTTTCATAAAGTTGTTACAAGGTGAGTTAACAGGTTCTGTAGTTTTTATAACATCTATAAGTATGCGCATTCATTTTATTTACATAATGACCATATGACTATTATTCAGAATGTTTTACTAGTAACAATATTAAAAACTGTGTACATACTTTAACACTATGTAAAATAGAGCATGGGTACTAATTTCTATATACCTTTATTCTGTTAGATAAAAAAAGACATGTAACCACGCCTAGTATTTCACAAATGAAGAAAGTGAAGTTGAAATTGAATAACACCTTAAGACTTCAAGGTTGGCAAGTGTCAAAACCAGGGATTGAACTTGAGTCTTATTGGTTCTCTTACAGGACTCCTTATACCATACAACCTTTTCTTTCATCAGCAAAATATAACACAATTGGAGTTTTGTTATGGACCAGTGACTAAATCTCTTGTGTTGGCTTAGAGGTAAAATAAGACACAATAAAAGAATGTTATGAAGCTTCAGATGTCATTTGACGAGGATTAAAATAATCCTGTGTAATATATAATCCTTTTCAAATCATAACTCATCAACTACCAAGTAACCATATCTCATAAGCAATGAGTACCGTCCCGTATTGTGTGTGTTAATCAGTTTAGGATTCTTTTTCCAAATGGAACTCAGCTGTATTAGTCAGGGGAACACTAGCTAATATAACAAACAAAACTCACCATTAGATTGTAAAACAACAGAAGCCTATTTCTTGTCCCAGTCAAAGTACAACGCAGCATGCTGAAGATGCTGGTTACAGGTGGCTTTAATAGCCATGGTGAGCACATGTCCCAAGTTCTTTCCATTTTCAGCCTCTGCCATCCCCCTGGGCCTCACTGCCATCACATGCTACCAGCACATGCTCCCATCACATAGAAGAAGAGAGAGATGAGAGGAGAGAATAGGAGAAGAGAAGGGTTTCTCAAAATCCTTTATCCAGAAGATATAGACATTAAATTCACACTCACTTTCCATTGGTGAGAAATGGTCACACAACTACAAAGAGACACAAGCAGCTGGGAAATATAGTCCCAAATGCTTCCTGGCATTAGTCCTATTTTATAAAAGGCGAACACCCAGTTTTCTGGATTTCTGATCTTATAGGCTGTGTCAATGTTTCATTGCATTAGAACAGATCACTAATCATCTTTAAGGTTCCAAAATCCTATTCCACACAGAGAAATAAATTTATTCTGTGCTAAACCAGTGCCATGGATGGGAAGTGTGTACAACGAAAACCTTAGAGGACCAGGGTTCAAAACACATCTTTGTCTTAGAAGTTGTGCTAATGTGGAGATGGCATTCAAGTCTAACCTTCACTTCCTCCAAGTAAAGAATTATTTGACATGGGGGTAATTGCAAGGGAAGGGGCGCAGACATATGTCTGATAACAGCTCTCTTGTAGGACAGCATAAACAACATTATTTCATTCACTATCTCACATGTTCCTCAAATACTAGGAAGAGAGGCTGATGAGGAAGCGTTTTACAGGAAGGAATGTTCTATCAATATCCAGAGAAGCTGTGTCTGTGTCTGTTCTGATCCTGCCTGTGATTTTAAGGAGAAAAATTCTATGCAATCCAAGCCCTTTTTGAGAGCTATTTTGGAGGACCACGTGATGTGATCATCTTCATTAAAAACTGATTGTGCAACAGGATCATTGTTTGGCATTCTGTATGTCCTAACTTAATTTCTCTAACAGCTTTATGAAATGGGAATGTCAGTCCCATGTTATGAAAAAAAAAAAAAAAAAAAAAAACTTCAAACTCAAGAGAAAATAATAAATCTAGGATTCAAACTTCTGTCTCTCTGGTGGAAACCACTATTCTCTATCTCGCCAAAATGCTCACCTAAAAACAGTCTTCATCTGATGTAAGCTGACGCTAAAATTTGTCAGAACCAGACTTTAAAAATGACTGTGACTGCCGCTGATAGCAGCCCGGCTAAATGTCATGTGAATCTGTCCTCCTCCTGCAGCCTATGCTTACACCCATGAAGAATTTCTCCTGGTGAGAGTGGTGTACACACCAGCAAGCTGAACGAGCTTACCTCATTTGCTCACTATTCCCCTTGCACAGGATTTGTTTTTTTTTGAAGCGGTGTACTCTTATCACTCCTTAATCTTGTGAGTCTCTTCATTTATTGTACTGGGGTGGGAGGAAGCCTGCATACAAGCACAGACATATGGTTTTTATTTAATGAGCTAATGAAAAGAATGCATTTCAAGACATAGCACATATTACGGTGACTCAAATTGCTTATGCTATTTCATGTTTTTATAAGTTACCATCTAATTTGTCATTACAATTCAAAGTAACTTCATTTTCCCCTGTGGAGTACTGAAAATTACTGTAACTTATAATTTTATGGTAATTATAGTGAGAACTCCCATAATTAGTGTAGCAAGTTCACCGTTCTATTTATTTTTCCAAATGAGTCACACCCCTGGTAGGGGAAACTTGCTGTGTAGGTTTAAAGCTCCAGGTGCTATCTATAGGTGCATGGTATCTCATCATCATAACCTTTCTTCCTATTTCCCCTCTGAAATATTCTCCCCGACCAACTTGAGGAAAGATCTAAGTTTAAAATAGAATAATACTGAAAATTTAGTCTGCTTAGAACATATGCCATATTTACATGGAACGAAAAGAAGCTTACGGCACCCAAGGCCCTTGCATTTATTTGTTCTCAAGTTTTTGTGTGTAATATATACTTACTCAATAAACTGCTTCCATTCAGAGCACAAGAATTATCCGGTCGTCTACCTTCCATCCAAATGTGTGGCTGTAGTATCCACCAAAGCTCCTCAGTCATGAAATAGGACCTCTATCCTCCCGCTTACAGTTTTAATAACAGCTGTGGATTGGACTTTATTAGTGCTTCTAGTCCTCTCCAGCCCCGTGTTGATGCCTTGGTTCAGGTGCTCATTATTTCTGCTTTATTCAAAGTCTCCTTGAAAACAGGAGGACCTGCAGAGATAATCACTTCATTCTTCGTGCCCCAGACATACCTGTACATAGCTTTAGAATAACAACACCTGAGAACACGTTGGCAACAATATAGAGCAACAGGGACTTTCCTACTCTGCGAGTGTGGACCTGAATTATGACTGGCATTTTGGAGAGAAGTTTGGCAAAACTGAGAAAAAAGGAAGATGATTATATCCCACAGCCAGGATAGTCAAGGTTTTAGTTATATTATTAGGAGTAATACTCAGAAATAAAAAAGTGAATGGCACAAGAAAAGATGCATACAAAAGTTTGTTGCAATGTTGTTTATAATATCAAAAAAATAAAAATAAAAAACAATCCAGGGTCCTTCAACAGGAGAATGCATAAATAAATTGGCATTTTATACAAAGTAATTGTGAACACATGCTACAAGATGTAAATTATAAATTACTGTGTCAATGTTGGTAATCTCAGACACAAAGTATGGAACAAGGAAAAGTGAGCTGCAGAGAATAATAAAATTCAAATACTTCTAAAATAAGTAATATTTTGAATAAAGTATCCCAAACATTTACTGAGCAGTTACTATGTTCCTGGCATTGTTTCAAGTACTTTGCTCTTGGAAAGGAAAAATGTGAAATTCGTGAGGATATTTGCTTATGGTGAGGGAGTTTATGGTGAAGAGGCTAGGAAAATGGTTTTGGGAAGGGGCCTTAGCTTTACTTGTAGTGCTTATTTTCTTTCTAAAGGTATATCTGCCTGCTGGGCATGGTGGCTCACACCTGTAATCCCACCACTTTGGGAGGCCAAGGTGAATGGATCACCTGAGGTCAAGAGTTCCAGACCAGACTGACCAACAAGGTGAAACTCTATCTCTACTAAAAATACAAAAGTTAGCTGGACGTGTTGGCACGTACCTGTACTGTAATCCCAGGTACTAGGGAGGCTGAGGCAGAATTCCTTGAACCCGGGAGGCAGAGGTTGCAGCGAGCTGAGATCGCCCCATTGCACTCCAGCCTGGGTGACAGAGCAAGACAATGTTTCTAAATAAATAAATAAATGTATCTGCAACAAGAAGAGAATTTTGTCCATGCTTTCCCACTGTTATCATACTCTTCTTATGTAATATCTTTGCAGTCTCAGAATTCACACTTCTGCCACTGCTTTATGAGGAAACTTTTGAAGATTAGCCTTTTTTGGATGTTAAAAGGTGCTTCTCCCTGAGTAAAAATAACACTCACAATGAGATGCACAAATCCAAATAATCTTGAGCACAAATAAGCAGGAATTAAGAAACAAAAACAATGCGGCATTCTCATGTTTACGTGTAGTTAAACTGATTGTAAAAGCAAAAACACATAGGCAAGTAAATAAACTTGCCTGTTGGTGAATTCCTAGACCATTAATTATACATAAACAGCAAATTAAACTTTCAATCATTTTTCATAAAAAATAAGTTTCTCAACTTTTTAAATTCCTTTAAAAAATAAAATATCTAAACACCTCTTCTAACTGTAAGTGCCTTTTGAAATATAAAACAATAACATCTAATTGGGGTTTTATAATACATGTTAAATCAAAATACAGAATGATGTACTTCAGCTTCCATGAACAATCGCTGTTATGAAAATTACTTTCCTATGGTAAACAACTAGACAACTATACAGAATATTCAAAGTGGCTATTTTTATAAATAAGGCAACAGGCAAAACAGGGATGTGATTCTTCAGATAAGAGGAATCAATGAGAAAAGTCCTATGTCAGCCCCAGTTTAATATTAAGAAACAATTTCTAAACCAGAGTACATGAAAAACAAACCAAACTCAGTATGGACCATTAATTTCACAGCGTTGATGGGACATAGATTAGAGTTCACTGAGGCTGAGGTGGTTCGATTTTATGAGGCAGAACACCAGATGGGAGGCACCTGGACACAGAGAGAACATTAAAGGTCTGCAAAAGGGTCTTTTGAAATTTTTATTTGAATACCAAATTCCACAGGTTTGAGGAGAAGTTCAATGATACTAGGAAAAGAACCCTGAAAAGAAGTGTGCTGAATAATTCTCAAGTCCCACGGAAAAATGAAAACAGTTTACATTGCTACCAGACAAAATGTAGGTATTAAAATACACAAAGCATTTGGTACAGCCCTCCCAAGGATAATAGTGGGCAGCAGTAGCTCAAGGATGAAGGATTCTCTAGTGTGGAACTCATGAAGCTTAAAAGCAAGCACTAAATGAGTCAAAGTGATTCTCAGTGACTTAGTGGAATATCAGAACACAGTTTATTTAACTTTATTAAACAATAGAACAAAACTCAACACCCAGCGATGGAATATCACAATGTCTGTCATTCAGTCAGCTATTACCAGGCATGCAACAATGCAGAAATATATAATCCATAACCAGGAGACAAATCTGAAATAAAAATAGACACAGAAGTGAAGAAATCGGTAGACATGGTGATTTATAAAATTATTACAAATGTGTTCCACCAGGCAAAGTTTCTTAGCTTTGAGTTCTATGAAAATCGAATCTGATCCTAGGGTGGAAGTATTTCACCTTGGTAATCAGCAATTCTAATCCAGGAATACCTAAATTTGTAGGTTTGGGAAAGTCAAGTTGTGGGAGAGGGTCACTAGATGTGGCAGCCACATGGCAGGCTAGTTGGATCTCACTGCCAGAAAGAAACTAGCGTTTAGTTGCAAGCATCTAGTTCTGGATGAATTGCAGGTCTAAGACCTATGGGTTGTGACTTTATACTCTTTTCTGTCCGTTTTTAGACACAAAATACAGGGTGGATTTTAGAACCTGGTACTTCTATGATCATGAATAAAGCCTGTATCAGAATTCACGTATACGTGTTACTGTGAGAATAATTTTTAACCTTATTTGGATAAATAGCTATGAGTGCTATCATTGGGTCATATGGTAAATACATTTCTAATTTTATAAGACACTGCTAAGCTATATTCTAAATTGAGTGAACCATTTTTTATTCTTGCAACAAGGTATGAGAATTCCAGTTGATATATATACTTTACCTGGTATTTTACTTTTAAAGCCGTTTTGATATATGTATAGTGATATCTTACTGTATCTTAAATTTCAACTTCCCCTATGATTAATCTTATTGAATATCTTATCATATAATCTTTTAGTGTCTGTGTATCTGTTTTGATGCAGTCTTTTAATATTTTTATTGTATTAATTTGTTTTTGCATAATTAATTGCATTATGACAGATTTTTTATACTATGCAGAGAAGACCTTTGTTTATGTTTCTTTAGCAAACATATTCTTCTAGTCTGTGCTTTCTCTTCTAACATTTTAAATACTGTCTTTCAAAGAGTAGGTTTGTCCTTTTGATGACATCACACACACACACACACACGCACACACACACAATTTCATTTAAAAAAATCTTTGCCTAACCTAAAGTCACAAAGATTTTTTTCAACCTTTTCTTTTAGAAATTTTTATATTTAGGTCTTCGACAATTTTGGTTAAACTGTTTACATGGTACAAAATAGGAATGAGAATTTATTTGTTTGGATTCTTATAAAAATCCTATGGGTCAAATAAGAAATCACAAAGACAACTAGAAGTACTTTGATTTGAATGAAAATAAAAGCACAACATATTAGATTTACAGAACACAGTTAAAGCACTTCTTAGAGGGAAACGTGTTTCATTCCATGTGCATTAGAAAAGATTTTTAAATTAATGACAACTTTCAATCTTAAATAACAAGAAAAAAGGGACAAATTGAACACAGAGCAAGTCCAATGATGGAATTAATGAAGATAAGAGGAATGATCAGTGGGACGTAAAATGAAAAAACAATAGGAAAAGAAGTTTTTTTTAAAAGCTGGTTCTTTAAAAATCAATAGCATTAATAAACCAACAGCCTGACTGACAAAGAACAGAGAGAAGACACAAATTATAAACATCATGAAGAAAAGAGAGCTTATCACTCCCAACTCGACAGACAGTAAAAATACAATGTAGGGATAGTACTATTAACTCTATGCCCCCAGATTTGAAATCTGTATGCAATAGATACATTTATTGAAACATCCAAACTACTAAAGCTGAATCAAAAGGAAATAGATAGTCTGAATAGTCTTAAATGTATTAAATAAATGAAATCTTTTTTAAAAGCTTGCCACAAAGAAAACACCAGGCACAGATGGTTTCCCTGGTGAATTCTGTAACTGTTTACTGAAGAAATAACATCAACTCTACACAAGTTACTCCGAAAATATTGAAGAAGAAATACTCCCCAATTCATTTTATGAGAACATTATTGCTTTAATAGCAAAATCATTAAAATGCATTTGAAGAAAAGAAAACCATTGACCCATAACATTCGATCGTATTCATGGAAATCACCAACAAAGTAATAAAATATTGAAATCCACAACTAATAAAAATGTTGACAGATTATGATCAAAGGGGGTTATCTGAGGGAAAATGTAATAGTTCATAATTTAAAAACTAATATAACTATGTAAATAGAACAAATATGAACACAATATGATAATTTGAATAGATGCTTAATATCATCATATTTCAAACAAAATTATTGACAAGAATGTAATCTCAGCAAAATAGGTGTAATAAGATAAAGCATATCTAAAAATCTTATAGGCAACAGTGATGAAATATTGACTACTGGGGAAAAGACAAATATGTCTGCTCTCACTGCTTCTACTTGATATTGTACTGGAGTTGATAGCCAGGGAATCATGCATTAAATGAAATTAAATGAATGCAGTTTGGAAATAAAGAAATAAAACTAGAGTCACGAACAACATAATTGTTTATGTAAACCATACTAAATCTACACTATAAATACTAGGAGCTATGAGTAAGTTTATCAAAGTTGTGAAAGGTCAGTACATAAAATTAATTCTATTTCTGTTTATTTGCAGGCAAAAAATTAAAACGAAATAAACATTCAAATTGAAACATTAAAAAATCAATTTAAAAGAGTGCTATAAATCATAAAATATTTAGGAGAGTTTTTTTTCTGTTTTAATTTTTCTTCATGCACTTTTTTTTATTATTATACTTTAAGTTTTAGGGTACATGTGCACAACGTGCAGGTTTGTTACATATGTATACATGTGCCATGTTGGTGTTCTGCACCCAGTAACTCATCATTTAACATTAGGTATATCTCCAAATGCTATCCCTCCCCCCTCCCCCCAACCCACAACAGGCCCCAGTGTGTGATGTTCCCCTTCCTGTGTCCATGTGTTCTTATTGTTCAATTCTCACCTATGAGTGAGAACATGTGGTGTTTGGTTTTTTGTCCTTGCGATAGTTTGCTGAGAATGATGGTTTCCAGCTTCATCCATGTCCCTACAAAGGACATGAATTCATCATTTTTTATGGCTGCATAGTATTCCATGGTGTAAATGTGTCACATTTTCTTTTTTTTTAAATTTTATTATTATTGTACTTTAAGTTTTAGGGTACAGGTGCACAATGTGCAGCTTTGTTACATATGTATACATGTGCCATGTTGGTGGGCTGCACCCATTAACACATTTTCTTAATCCAGTCTATCATTGTTGGACATTTGGGTTGGTTCCAAGCCTTTACTATTGTGAATAGTACCACAATAAACATACATGTGCATGTGTCTTTATAGCAGCATGATTTATAATCCTTTGGGTATGTACCCAGTAATGGTATCGCTGGGTCAAATGGTATTTCTAGTTCTAGATCCCTGAGGAATCACCACACTGACTTCCACAAGGGTTGAACTAGTTTACAGTCCCACCAACAGTATAAAAGTGTTCCTATTTCTCCACATCCTCTCCAGCACCTGATGTTTCCTGACTTTTTAATGATTGCCATTCTAACTGGTGTGAGATGGTATCTCACTGTGGTTTTGATTTGCATTTCTCTGATGGCCAGTGATGGTGAGCATTTTTTCATGTGTTTTTTGGCTGCATAAATGTCTTCTTTTGAGAAGTGTCTGTTCACATCCTTTGCCCACTTTTTGATGGGGTTGTTTGTTTTTTTCTTGTAAATTTGTTTGAATTCTTTGTAGATTCTGGATAGTAGCCCTTTGTCAGATGAGTAGATTGCAAAAATTTTCTCCCATTCTGTAGGTTGCCTGTTCACTCTGATGGTAGTTTCTTTTGTTGTGCAGAAGCTCTTTAGTTTAATTAGATCCCATTTGTCAATTTTGGCTTTTGTTGCCATTGCTTTTGGTGTTTTAGACGTGAAGGTTCCTAGCCCATGCCTATGTCCTGAATGGTATTGCCTAGGTTTTCTTCTTGGGTTTTTATGGTTTTAGGTCTAACATGTAAGTCTTTAATCCATCTTGAATTAATTTTTGTATAAGGTGTAAGGAAGGGATCCAGTTTCAGCTTTCTACATATGGCTAGCTTGTTTTCCCAGCACCATTTATTAAATAGGGAATCCTTTCCCCATTGCTTGTTTTTGTCAGGTTTGTCAAAGATCAGATGGTTGTAGACATGTGGCATGATTTCTGAGGGCTCTGTTCTGTTCCATTGATCTATATCTCTGTTTTGGTAACAGTACCATGCTGTTTTGGTTACTGTAGCCTTGTAGTATAGTTTGAAGTCAGGTAGCGTGATGCCTCCAGCTTTGTTCTTTTGGTTTAGGATTGACTTGGCAATGTGGGCTCTTTTTTGGTTCCATATGAACTTTAAAGTAGTGTTTTCCAATTCTGTGAAGAAAGTCATTGGTAGTTTAATGGGGATGGCATTGAATCTGTAAATTACCTTGAGCAGTGTGGCCATTTTCATGATATTGGTTCTTCCTACCCATGAGCATGGAATGTTCTTCCATTTGTTTGAATAGGAGAGATTTTTTTAAAAATATGTGAGATCTAAGCCTTCTAAACTACAGACATTGCTGAGAAAAATTTTAAAAGTCTTAAATACTTGGAGATATAAACCATTTCATTTATTAGAAAGATCAACTTCCATAAACGTTAGTTTTCTCTATATTTATTTATACATTCAATGTAATTGCAAAGACAATCTAAGCAGGACCTTTTCTAGAAATTGACAAATCAGTTTGTAAATTTAGACAATATAAAATTGCCAAAACAATTTTGCAAAAAGAATATGTTTTGAGACTTACAGTTATACTTCACACTGTCTCAAGATTAGTATAATGACATAACAATGAAAATAATGTAGTGTTGGTATAAGGCCAAGTACGTAGGTCAATAGAGGAGTGAAGATAATTTAGCAACCGTTTCACACAAAGATGACACCTAAGCAATTCAATGGGGAAAGTAAAGTCTTTGACCACTATCAAACTCTATACTAGAAAATAATTCATATAATTTAAAATGTATCTTTGACTTACCTAAAAAAGCTAGAACTGGCCGGTCACGGTGGCTCACGCTTGTAATCCCAGCACTTTGGGAGGCCGAGGTGGGAGGATCACCTGAGATCATGAGCTCAAGGCTAGCCTGGCCAATATGTTGAAACCCCGTCTCTACTAAAAATACAAAAATTAGCTGGGCGTGGTGGCGCGTGCCTGTAATCCCAGCTACTCGAGGGCCTGAGACAACAGAATCGCTTGAACCCGGGAGGCGGAAGTCACAGTGAGCCGAGATCACGCCACTGCCCTCCAACCTGGATAACAGAGTGAGACAGAACTGTGAGTGCTTCCAAAGGCTGGCAAAGGCAGGGACGATGATTCTCCCTTAGGAAAGGAGTGCAGAAAGGAGTGCAACCTACCCATATTTTAATCTTATAGCAATGCTATTGTGCTGGACTTCTGAGCTACAGAATTGCAAGACAATAAATTTGTATTGGTTTTAGAATAAGTTTATGGTAATTTGTTACAGCAGCAATATAAACCTAATACAACAGTTATAAGATAAAAGCAAGCTAAATATCCATCAAATTAAGGTTGTATAAAGCACATTGTGGGATAGTCACATGGGAAAATACAGCTCACCAATAAAACAAGCAAACAAGCACAATACTGATACATACAGGTGCATGCACAAATCTCAAATAACATTATTTTGAAAAAATCATGTTAGATGCAAAAGGAGAACATTTATATAAAGTTCAGGACAACTCTTGGTTAAAGAGATCAGAAGAGGCCAGACACTGTGGCTCACGCCTGTAATCCCAGGACTTTGGGAGGCCGAGGCGGGTGGATCACCTGAGGTCAGGAGTTTGTGACTAGTCTGACCAACATGGAGAAACCTCATCTCTACTGAAAATACGAATTAGCTGGATGTGGTGGCATATGCCTGTAATCCCAGCTACTCAGGAGGCTGAGGCAGGAGAATCACTTGAACCTTGGAGGCGGAGGTTGTGGTGAGCCAAGATTACACCATTGCACTCCAGCCTGGGCAACAAGAGCGAAACTCCATCTAAAAAAAAAAAAAAAAAAAAAAAAAAAAAGGAGGGAGAGAGAGAGAGAGAGAGAGGAGAGAGAGAGATCAGAAGAATGGATTTAATGCACTGAGAATTTTCTCCAAGAGAGCATAAAGAAATTTTCATAATTGACATGAATGTTCTATATCTTAACAAGGTGATGGTTACATGGACATACAAATTTACCAAACTTTAAGTTTATGGCTAATATCTGTGCATTTCACTGTATATTAATCAAAAAAAGACAAAGAAGCACATACAGGAAAAATCATGTGAATTACTGTTCACTTCCTGTCAGAAACTGGAGGCAGCATATTTAAATTGATGAAAAAACAAAGAGAATGTCAACTTAGATTTATATACCCAGCAAAAATATCCTTAAATAGTGAAGATAAAATATTTTTAAAAAAACTTTGCCCAGCAATGGTAGAATTACAGAATCCATCTCAGCAGAGAGAGAGTTGTGCCACTAGAAAGGCTAAAAAAAAAACCTTAGGCTGAAGAGAAATGGAAACAGGAAAACAGATGGAAAATCAAAACTTCTAGAAGGAATGAGAAGCACCAGAAATAAAAAAATAAAGAAGAAAATCATTTAGTGAAAAATATACACGAAATATTAATTAGAAACAGGACACTTGATAGTCTCTACTCTCAACTTTTTGGGATGAGATTATAAAGAACATTCACTGACTTTTAAAAAATGAGTTGATTTATATATAATATATAATGTGTGATTATACATGTACAATTTTTTCAATCAGAAAAGATATAAAGTTCACAAAGATCAGGGCTTATGTCAAGGACACAGGAGACAACTGAAACAGTCCCCAATTCTAAAGTTGGAATATTTGACCAACAAATAAATAGAATCATACTGGATTACAATTTAAATTATAAAATAAATACCTATGAATCTATAATGCTATAAATAAGTAGTTAAATAAATAAATGGTGGACAATTGACAAATTCCCCATGTAAAAGAACTACAAATGGTTGATAATCTGCCCCGATGTTGTTGCATCCCAAATCCCCACTCCTTATATGTGCACTGTGCAACTTCCTTCCGGAGACTGCAGCACAGAAAGAGGAAAAGAGCGATAATTTTATACCAAGCAAAGCTGACAGGCACTAACTCAGACAAGTGGTCAAAGAAAACATCAAAAATTTAAGGCTATATAAAAATGATGGCATGTACCCTTGATATGATATGACGGGAATTGCAATTTATCCTTGTAGTCTTCCTGCCAGAGACTCTCAGTCCTAGCATAGCTATGAGAAAAGCAAATAATCTCAAGAGAGGCACATTCCACAAAACACCTGGCCACTGTTCTTCCAACTGCAAAGGTCAGTAAAATCAAGGAATGTCTGAGAAACTTTGAAGGCCAAAGGAAGCCTGGAAATGCCTTGCCACTAAACGTGAGGTGGCATCCTGCATGGGATCCTGAAACAGAAAAATCTCGTAAGAATTACCCTAAATTTTCTCATTTCTCTTATGTGTTAATACAGTATTTTGTAAATATTTAAGAAACCATATTTTTGGCCACTATTTCCTCTTTTGTTTATATTCATATCTTCCACTGAGACATTTTTACACAATAAAACATATCTAATAGATTTTCTCTATTAGGATTCTTTCCAATGTTTTACCAAATTTCAATAGTAGAAAACCATGGGTCCTTGCATTTCCATTCCTTTACAGTGCAGGTTATAAATATATTCCACTAAAATTAGAAGTTTCATCAAAGAAATCAAGATATCCCATAGACTAATTACAGAATACTAAGAGTAAATATTCTAGGTAGCTTGGGCCTCCATGCTGTTTGCTAGATTTGTTTTATAAATAAATCCAACTTTTAAAAACCATCAGAAGCTGAAGTTTAGTACTTCATTTGTTTAAATATTTTGCAACTGATTTTTAATGAACTTCAACCAAAATTTGGAGAACTTAGTTACCAAAATTTTCAATATTGATCTAGGATACAGAAGCTGATTCGTAAAGTAGATGTTGAAGGCACAGGGTTTTTAAAACATAATTGATCATGAGCAGCAAAGAGGAAATATATAATAGTAAGCTGATTTTGTATTCAACATCACCATCATCACATAGACCTCCTTGGTGTAATTACTCTGAATACATATATATATACACACACAGACACGTATACATACATATACACATATACATACATACATATATATGTATACATATATCATCATCTCACGGTGTAAGTAAACTACTGATTTTAGGATGCATCCCATTCCAAAATCTGAACATTCTCAACTCCTGCCACGGATGCCATGGGTGCATGAGTGTATACAGTAAAAGTTGGTCCTCCCTATATGTGGGTATTACATTCCACAAATACTGTATTCCCTGTCTGTTTGGTTAAAAAAATATTTAAAAAAATAAAAAAAAACACCTGCATATAAGTGGACCCATGCTATTCAAATCAGTGTTGTTCAAGGGTCAACTGGGTATTTGTGGAGTTTGAAATCTATATTTCTTTCTGTTGGATTCTGGATGCGTTTTGGAAGACATTATGAACAATTTCAACCACAACTCATTTCAAATATATTTATGTTACACAACCTCCTTAATTTAGTAAGACTACTTTTCTACAATGACGTTTTTCTGTAGAGAATGTCTTGTATGTTTTTCATGTTTCATAAACAGCCAATTTTCTTCTTTGACATTAAACTTCAGGATTTACAGTAGCATTTTCAATAATCTCGGCTTTCACCTTTAGCAAAATAAATTTTGAAGAGCTTTACCTGTTTTTCTGTACATGAACTGCTATTGGAATTTGCCTGATTTTTTTTTTATTTGATGAACAGTGCTATTAAAGTGGAAACTTTTTTAAGGTTTGCAAAGTTCAGCCACAACACATTAGCAATGATTCCCTGACTTTTTATACCTGCACTTCCGTACTTCAACACAAACTTTTAATTGCAAATGAGATGAACTAATTTATCTAAGTGAAAAACAATGATTCAGAGTGACAACACATAAGCCATCACTTTGGGGACAGACTTTTAAAAATATCTACAAACTTTCGAGGTAGATGTTGCTGCCTCTTTATCTGCATTGTATTTTTGACTTTTTCTTTCTTTGTTTTCTTTTTTTTTTTTTTTTTTGAGATGAAGTCTCGCTCTGTCGCCCAGGCTGGAGTGCAATGTCACGACTTCGGCTCACTGCAACCTCCGCCTCCCCGGTTCAAAGGATTCTCCTGCCTCAGCCTCCTCAGTAGCTGGGACTACAGGTGCCTGCCACCATGCCCAGCTAATTTTTGTAGCTTTAGTAGTGATGGAATTTTACCATGTTGGCCAGGCTGATCTCGAACTCCTGACCTCAAGTGATCCACACGCCTCGGCCTCCCAAAGCGCTGGGATTTCAGGCATGAGCCACCACATCCAGCCAGAGTTGTATTTTTGTTTCGTTAATGTGAACCAGTTACAACAATCAGCACAAGCCTCACGGTGGATGGTCAATTTCAACAAAACTTCTGCAAGTTACATGCTTGCCATTAATTTTCTTAAATAAAATAATTATTTTTATTTGAAATACATTCAATTTGTTATTTGTTGTTTTCTCATTGATGGTGAAAGAGTGTATTGAAAACATGAGCAGCCAAGCAGATAAGAAGGGGTCAGCGGAGAGTGGCTGGTGTGGGAACAGGCAAGAGATGAGGATAAATGGATGAGTCCCTCTGCATTCTGAAGGCCAGGTGATAGTAACTAAACAAAACAGGTTTTTTTTCGGGGGGTGGGAAGCCAAAATTGGTTAATGAAAAAGTAAATACCTTTAAAGGACGAACTGCAGATGAAGACATTAAATGAGAATCAAAGCATAGCCCCTGCTTCATCAGATTCCCCACTCCCATAAGGCGTTGCACAAGAAATCTCCAAAACACCTCAGTGAATAGAAAACCCTCTGCTTCACAAAGTTTATTTGCTCATAATGACAAAAATGAAAGTCACCAACTGATTTTGTAAGTTTAATATAGATTTGATTACGGAGGTAGATAAGGAACAAAAGAACTCATAGCATAGCCCTGAAAATCCCACGCATATTTTTACACCAAACCCATTGGTGCATTAACAAATAATAAACTATTACAATCAACATAAGTATATATCAGAAATTCAAGAATTTTAAAACTTCAGGTAAATCCAACAACTTAATTCATCCCTTCTATTGACTACATATTTAAAAAATCACATAATGATGGGAGTAGATGCAGACATTTTAAAAATAAAATTTAATATACAGTTTCAGAAAAGAAAACAAAGATAGAAACTGCCTTAGGTGAGAAAAAAGCACTTACAGAAACCTTACAGCAAACCTCACTTACAAAACTTGATACAATCTGATTGTGGGTACTATAATAATTTTGAAAAAAGCACATGCTGTTACTATAGCCATTAAACATAACAGTGAAGGGCTTGCCTGGAGAATAAAACAAGAAAAAGATGCAATAAAAGGAGTTTAAAAACAAGTAGACATCTCAGACACTTAGTATGTGCCATTTCATGTCCTCTCAGCCTTGTATGCCTCATGTTCCAGCCACTACTGCAGGCACCTATTGTGTGAACCTTCATTAAACCTACTCAGGTGTAACCTGAGGACGCCCCATCTGTGTCTGGGCTCCATTCTGTTGGATGCCCCAGGGCTCCCTATTGGTGCCCAAGCACAGGACATGATGGTCCCTGCTCGGCACTGTGGGTGTGATATTCATAAATGTGGGTTATTTAACCTCCCATGTGGCAAGCCGTTCACTAATGAACTATGGGAGTCAGAAAATAAAATCCACTCTTTCTTTCTCCAGACAGACTCCTCAGTGATGCCTTTTATTCCTCTTTGGAGGATGTTGCGTCAGACAAGCACACAGTTGCACTTAGCAGCAGCCAGCTTGAACCTAACTTCGTTCATTCTCCATTTATTTCCTTCACGTTATCCTTCTTATTGACCTTAATCTCTGACATTACATTACCTTGTGAAGGAATAGCACATAAGCCCTTGCATTAGATTTTTTCTGAGAACTCAATGCTAAGAGACGTGTTAGGATTCGCCCCAGAATGCAAACATCACATTGAGATTTTTAGCTAGATTATTTAACTGTGTCAAGGTTACATACAACTCAAAACCTGGTCTTGGTTCCTTAGTTCCACAGTGATTGCTGCTGGCATTCAGTGTCATTTCAATGACAAAGGCTTTTTTCTGTGTTTAATCTTGATGAGAAATGGGCACAGGGTGAATCATTAGCATATACGGTAGCCCTGGCACCTGAACAGCATCGGGAGCAATGAAAATAACTAGGATTGTGCAGTGAGTTGGCTTATAGTAACTACACTTGGAATCCTAGATAAAAGAGAACGATGCATTCTGGGCAGCCAACTTCCAACTCATCCAAGGGGCTTTTCATGACTGCTTTGAAAGAAAGTCAACTCCTGCAGCTGCCCAGGGCAAAGTCGACTATATAAACTTCATGCCCAGGGTCTGTCAGCGTGGTGGCCAGACTGCAAAGACTGGCTGCATAATACCACAATTTTCCAAAGTCAAAATCAGAGCCCTGATGTGGAGAGATTGAAGTCCTGACTCCCAGGATGGGGATACCTGGGGGTCTTAAATACTGAGATTCTGCTGAAACCTTAGTAGAAGGATTCTCTTTGATTTTGCTAGAGAAAAATATTCTCATTTTGCCTAGAGCAAAGAATGACTTAACCAGATGTAAGGTTATGCCACAAAGACTTCCTTGGTGCTCAAACAGGCAAAATGTGTAAGTTCAGGGAAGTTAATGCACCTTTGTGTAAGCTCTGGTCAATGGGAAGTATTGGGGCTCACACACCACCCCAAAATATTGCTTTTAGGCATATTCACTATTCACTGGTTATTTTGAGAAACTACAGAAACTCTGAAAAGCTTCTCCTTTGTAAAATAAATTTATATATATATATATATATATATATATATTTTTTTTTTTTTTTTTTTTTTTTTTTTTTTTTTGATGGATCTCCCTCTGTTGCCCAGGCTGGAGTGCAGTGGCATGATTTAGGCTCACTGCAACCTTCTCCTCCCAGGTTCAAGAGATTCTCCTGCCTTGGTCTCCCAAATAACTGGGATTACAGGCACCCACCACCACGCCCAGCTAATTTTTGTATTTTTTAGTAGAGACGGGGTTTCACCATGTTGACCAGGCTAGTCTCGAACTCCTGACCTCTAGTGATCCATCCACCTTGGCCTCCCACAGTGCTGGGATTATAGGTTTGAGCCACAGTGCCTGGCCAAGAAATTTATATCTATAAAGGAAATATTTTTTACTAAGTGTGTCCATACCAGGAAGAGAGCTGCTTTGGGCTACTTTTATCACCTGAGAGTCTCATCTGCATAACAAGGCAATCTTTACTTACCATATATTTATATATTTCCTCCCCTTGCCCTCTCCTGTCTCCAACCCCCACCGCTAGTCCCCATGCCCTGCCAGAAACCCTAAGCCCCTATTTCTTTGTGTAGCTCAGTATGCTGTATAAGCTTCAAACATCTGGCCCTTCCTCAAGTCTCTTATTTTTGTGAGACGCTCAAGTTTAAGTACATAATTAAATATGGGTTTTCTCAGGTAAATCTGTCTTATGTCAATTTAATTCATAACGCAGCCAAAGTACCTAGAAGGCTGGGGAGAAGCTATTTTCCCTTCCCCACAGAATGAGAGCCAATGAATTATTTGTTTTTCCCTTTCCTCCTCTGGATTTATTCCCTAAAATGCAACTTAAATAACGTCTTGAAGAAAAAAAAAAAAATCACAGGATCAGCAATCAGTTATACTTCGTGGCAGCCAGGTATGTCCAAGAGTGCCACATTGGCTCTCCATCCTTCTCTGTCTCACTCTCGCTGGCCCTTAATTCTCTTCCTGGAATTGCACTCCCTAATAAATTATTAGCCCCTAAACTATTACCTTAGCTGCTGCTTTCTGGAAATCCCAGGCCAAAACAGAAGGGAATCAACAATTAGCATTATTAAAGACAATCATTAGATACACTTTTAAAACAAATTATAGAGTTCAGCAATTTTTTCAAGTACAAGATGATCACCAATAATTATTTAGAAAAACATTCTGAAAGGAAGATATCATTAACAGTAATAGTAATAGTAGTAAATCTGCCAAATTAGTGCAGGAAAATGAAATATGGCTGATTATACAGAATAATCACAAACACAAAGGAAGCTTGTATAGAAATGGCCCAAGAAGGAGTGAAAATGGAGAATGATTTAATGGATAGTGTTAGGGAAAATGCATCATAATGTGAAAAAGAGTAAAATGGAATTTCTACGGAAAAAAAAATGTTAAAATAGTTGGACAATAGTTTGTGTTTCAGCATTGAGAATATGACCCTTACACGGTATAAACCTCGAAATATCAACACGTAAGAGTTCAGTAGGTTGGCTGTGAACCGATGAGAGATTCACAGACATTCCTTAACCTGCTGTACCACGCAGCCAGGTGCTCTATTGCATAACTGATGGAAAGGGAGCTGGTTATTCAGCTGAATTCAGTCGCTAGATAGACGTTAAAGCTGACAGAACCTGGATTCCATGGCGTTTCTACGCTGAAATGTCCTAGAAATCACATTAGCTTCCTGCCAACCTCCCCACTGGTATTCACGAGGGTAAGGGGACTGAGGACTTCCGGCTCTGTATCTGAGCAGACTTCCGGCTCTGCATCTGAGCGGACTTCCGGCTCTGCATCTGAGTGGACTTCCGGCTCTGCATCTGAGCGGACTTCTGGCTCTGCATCTGAGAGTCTCCAGGCCATGCGTGCAGGTTCCCTGCACACCGTCCTGCTCCCCGTTTCTCGGGTTCTTAGTAAATAAACTTGGTGCTAAGCCTAATGGAGCCTTTTGAGTTTGATTGACAATTGGAGTAAAGACTTTTTGGTTGTTTTGTATCCAAGTCATATTATATACAGGCATGGACACTGGTTATACAAGAGACATCAGTGTAAAAGGCAAAAATTTAAAGGAAATTAGAATATATTGATGGACAGGAACACATCAAAATTAAGGACTTATGTTTATGGGATTATTCTGACAAATGTAAGTTTGTGGACAGATTAGAAGAAGACATTTGGGACATCTAAAAATGCAGAAGAATTAATGTTACTATCTAGAGTATCAGAATAAATATTGCAAATCTGTGAGGATATATGAAGCCAGGCAAAAGATGTAATCAGAAAATGTGCAGAATGAAAAGCTGGAAGACTAGTGAGTTCATGAGTAGTGCCTAAAAACTGGAAAATCAGTAGAAACTTTTTAAAGAAGTCACCAAATTAAGCTGATTTGAAATCTAGGAGCTGATTTTAAACCTAGATTAAAGCTGACTTTTAAACTAAAATCAAAATCAATTTTTTATAGTGTGAAAAATAAAGACAGACATTTCAATGATTTAATATACTCACGAGGCTTGGGCTTTGTGATGAAAAGTTAAAAAGCATGAATTTCAAATGAGTTAGTGTGTTCCATACAACATAGGAAACAGCGTTTTGCTAGATTTTATATGACTTAAGCTGTGTATAATCCAGAGAGGTCAAAGTCCAGAGAAGACATGAGAAAACAAAATAAAGCCAGGTTGTGAAGACTTGCTACCAATCCCTCTTTAAAATGTGTTATTAGTAGACTTTACGTTTTGAGCAGTTTTACGTTTAAAGAAAAATTTAATAAAAAGTACAGAGAGTTCCTGTATATCTGTTCCTCCCCATCCCCATTTTAGTCTATTTATTAATAATATCTCTTGGTCAGGCACGGTGGCTCATGCCTGTAATCCCAGCACTTTGGGAGGCCGAGGCAGGTGGATCACGAAGTCAAGAGATCGAGACCATCCTGGTGAACATGGTGAAACCACGTCTCTACTAAAAATACAAAAATTATTTGGGTGTGGGGCTGTGTGCCTGTAGTCCCAGCTACTCGGGAGGCTGAGGCAGCAGAATCGCTTGAACCAGGGAGGTGGAGGTTGCAGTGAGCCAAGATGGTGCCACGGCACTCCAGCCTGGTGACAGAGCAAGACTTTGCATAAAAAATAAAATAAATAAAGTAAAGGAATAAAGAATGGCTACTCCATAGACAGAGCAGCTCCAAGCGCTGCTGGTTTCCCATTTTTATGGTTATTTCTTGATAACATGCTAAACAAAGGGTGGATTAATTATGCCTCACATTTTAGACCACATAGGGTAACTTCCTGACATTGCCATGACATTTATAAACTGTCATGGTACTGGCAGGTATGTAGCAGTGAGGACGACTAGAGGTCACTTTTGCCACCCTCTTGGTTTCAGTGGGTTTTGACTGGCTTCTTTACTGCAACTGGTTTTATCAGCAAGGTCTTTATGACCTGTATCTTGTGCTGACCTCCTATCTCATCCTGTGACTTAGAATGACTTAACCTCCTGGTAATGCAGACCAGCAGATGTCAGCCATATTTTATGCAGCTTCTATTCAATATGGAGTTGCTCTGGTTCAAATGCCTCTGAAACCCTAAAAAACCCCTGTGCTCTGCCTGTTTATTTCTCCATTCTTCCACGTGAGCCTCTGGAAACAACTGATTTTTTTCTTCACTGTCTCCATAGCTTTGCCTTTTTGAAAATATCCTATAGTCAAAATCATACAGTGTGGAGCATTTTCAGAATGGTTTATTTCCCTTAATAATCTGCATTTAAGTTTTCTCCATATATTTCAATGACTTTATAGCTCACTTCTTTTTATTGGTGAGTAATATTCCAACGTATAGACATACCACAGTCTGTTAATTCATTTCTCTTACTGAAGGACAAGCTTGCTGCATTCAAGCTTTGGCAGTTATGAATAAAGCTTCTATGAACATCGGTGTGCAGTTTTTGTGTGAATATAAATTTTCATATCATTTGTGTAAATACCAAGGAGTGTGATTGCTGGATGGCATAGCCAGAGTATACTTAGTTTTACAAGAAAATACCAAACTGTCTCCCAACATGGACGTACCATTTTGCATTCTCACCAGTGTTACAGTCTCACCAATGCCTCACAATGTATCAGTCTCTCATTATAAGATGTTACCCAGAGTTTTCTCTTTCACAAACAAGAGAATTAAGAAGCATGGACACAAAGGGTGAGGTTGGAGTGAAAGTTAAATAAACAAGAGAAGAAAACACTTCACCATGGAGAAGGGACCTAGAAGACGGTTGCTGTTTTTACAGTTGCATGCAAAGGCTTTTACAGGAAACCAGTGAGTGCTGGGCATCTCATTTGCATAAGGTGTGAATTTCTGGTAGCTCCACCCTATCGTCCTAGTGTGCATGCAGGCCCTTAGCTTGGGTTATCCCATATTGCTTTGTTCCCCTTACTACACACGTGTTAGGGGATGGATCTCAGCAATTCACCTGTGTAGCCTTTCTTATCTATGCAGTTGTGGGTATGTCTTAGGCAAGCCCCTCTGTGCAAGTTCCCTTATCTATGCCTGCAGCTTAATTTTTTAGGCTGTTCTTTTGTTTGAAAGAATTTTACTGAGAACCCATCTTAACTGACTGCCTGACCATTTCCTTCCTTTCTCCTCTCTCACCACCAATGAATAAAAGTTCCTGTTACTCCACATTTGTTGGTGTCAGTGTTTTGGAGTTTCATCATTTTAATAGGTGTGACGTGGTATCTTATTGCTGTTTTAATTTACAATATCCTGATTACATATGATGTGGAACATCTTTTCTAACCCATACCTAATTTTTTCTTTTGCCTGTACTTAAATTTACCAGTCTGTGGTCAATCTTTCCAAAATGATCCCAAAGAAATTAATGTCTTTTTGTTTCTGTTAAGTTATCCTAACCCAGGAGACTGTGTGTTTCCTAAAATGTCTATGAAAAATTGCATACACTCCAATAATAATTGGCATCACTACTATCTTTGTGCAGCCTGTTTGTTTTAGTGTCTGTGTCAAGCCTGTGTCAAGTGGGTTCACCTTGCCCATTGCCTAGACAGAGTGGATTTGTCAAGACAGGGGAATTGCAGTAGAGAAAGAGTAATTCACACGGAACTGGCTGTGTGGGAGACCAGAGTTTAATTATTGCTTAAATCAGTCTCCCCAATGATTCAGGGATCAGTGTTTTCAAGACTAATTTGGTGGGTGGGGAAAGGCCAGTGAGTCAAGAGTCAAGAGTCAAGGGAATTGAAGCTGTCCTCTTGTGCTGAGTCAGTTCCTGGGTGGGGGCCACAAGATTAGATGAGCCAATTTATCCATCTGGGTGGTGCCAGCTGATCCATTAAGTGCAGGGTCTCCAAAAAGTCTCAAGCACTGACCTTAGGAGCAGTTCAGGGAGGCTCAGAACCTTGTAGCCTCCACTGGCATGACTCTTAAATCATAATTTCTAATCTAGTGTCTAATTTGTTTGTCCTACAAAGGCAGTCTAGTCCCCAGGCAAGAAGGAAGTTTAGTTTGGGAAAGGGCTGTTATCAACTTTGTTTTAACTATAAACTAAGTTCCTCTCAAAGTTAGTTAAGCCTATGCCCAGGAAAGAATAAAGACGGCTTGGAGGTTAGAAGCAAGATGGAGTTGGTTACGTCAGATCTCTTTCACTGTCTCATAATTTTGCAATGGCGGTTTCACTTTGAGAAGTGATGTAAAAGTTCTGAGAGTGACCGATGCAGTTAGCCCTCTTCTTTTCTCCTGTGACTGGCCGCATTTTCATTTTATGAAGCCACATGCACACAGATCACCTGCAACTCTATCCCTGCCTTCTTTAGTCTTTTACGTTTCAGGCCTTTATTGAGAACTGTGAATCACAAATGGACTGAGGCAGGTCTCAATCTCTAGAGGTTTATTTAGCCTAGGTTGAGGATACGGCCAGAAAACATACAAGCCGCAAGAGCATCTGTGAGCTGCGCTTTTTCCAAAGTGGGTTTTGGAAGCTTCAGTATTTAAAGGGGGAAAGAGCAAGCAGGAGAGGAAAAAAAATGATGGAGGGAGGGGAGGGAGGGGAGGCAGTGAGGCAGATGGTTACATTCTTCTGAGGCTCTGATTAGCCTCAGTGAAGCTACATTTTACATGTGAAAAGAGTGAATAGAGGGAAAAGTCAATTGTGCATTGTCTTGCATTCAGTAAATCTACATTTTACATAAGATCAATTAACATGCGAAAAGAGGGAGTAGAGGAAATGAGGCTATGACACAGGGTTGTGAAACACCAGCTGTCTGTTTGGGAACAAAAGAAAAAGCAGTTTTTGTGTGACTCAGTTCCCAAGCTGAACTTTCCCTTTAGCATAGTGAGTTTGGGGTCCCAAGGTTCTATTTTCTTCCACAGAACATAGAATAATAATAGACAGAAATTGTTGTTCATTTTCTCTTTACCTCTCTTGGCCCCCTTTCACCCACCCATTATTTTAGAGGCTTAGTGGATGATCACCTTGCACCTCTTCATTCAAATTAGAAACTCAGCGTCTTTTTCCTACTTTACGTGGCATAATCAACTACTCAGCACTTCTCACACAATCTTTCTCCAAAAAGCTCCAGAAAGCCTCCTGTCAACTCATTCCTTCTGGGATCACCTTGTTTGAGTGTCCATCTTCTATTTGGGCCTGCAGTCTCTCTTCCACGATGCTGTGGGAATCACCAACTTTCAAGGATGTTCCCAGGACCACAGTCCTCACACCTTGGGATCACACCATACTCACCTTCCCGCCCTCCTCTCCTCCCCTCCTCACTTCTGCACAACCACCGTCCTGCCCCACCAGGGTCATTCACAGCAGCCTGACAGGCCAGATGTTTCCAGATCTCTAATATTCATGATCGCTCATCCGAGACTGTTTGCCTCAAATCTCAATGGGATATTCTTTATCCTTCAAAGATCTTCCATACACTCTTCTCAAAATCAACTGATATAGAAGGGCTGGGCTCCGGCCTAAACCCCACCCTTGAACCCGTGCCTAGAACCCGTGGCCCTAAGTGAAAACCGCTAACCCCAGTTTTCTGCCCAAATGTTGCCTTTTCGGCCTTCCATGCCCCTATCCTGTGCCCGTAAAAAGACTTCAGCTGGTAGAGCAACACAAGGGGCTGAGCATCAGGGATACAAGTGACTGCAGAGAAGCAACTGAGCATCGGAGACCACAGGTAAACATGGCTAACTTCAGGTTGTGCAGCTTCAAAGAGGGGCTTGGCTGTAGACAGCTGTGCTTCAGGGAAGATCACTTTCTTCCCACACCATCACTTTTCTAACTTTACATCCCTCAGAGAGCCACTTCCGTCGCCCAATAAAATCCACTGCCTACACTACCCTTCAATTTGTTCATGTGATCTGATTCTTCTTGGATACCAGACAAGAACCCCAGTGCCAAAAGGGCAGGGGCTGCCACCCTGAGCCTCCACTGAGCTGGTTGGCACTTGGTCATCCCTAGGTGGCAGAGCTGAAAGAAAGTACTGGTTGTAATGCACTTGGATGCTGCTGTGGGGCCCACACAGAGCCTGCTCCCACCAGAGAGGAGTGACCAGATGGCTCCAACATTCCTTTGCTCTGGTTTTCACACTCACTTGCTTACACTCTCCCTCTTGCGAGGAGTGGCCAGCGGTAGGTTGAGTGAAGCGAACAACTCCAGTTCCTGCCCACGAAGGGGGTTAAGGGAATTATCCTATCTCACAACTTTGTAGACTGAATCAGTCTTTCCTCTGTTAGAGGATAATGCAAGAATCCTCATCCTTACAATCCTTGACATCTTGTATCTAATGACTGATCTACATGACTGTTTCTCTTCCCATACAGTGAGCTTCTCAAGGGAACAAGTACAGACCCCACTCCTCCTCCACCAGCATCCTCACATTGCATTTGGCACTTGGAAGACACTCAGATGTCTGCTTAAAAAAAGGAATACATGGGCTGGGTGTGGTGGCTCATGCCTGTAATCCCAGCACTTTGGGAGGCCGAGGCGGGTGGATCACAAGGTCAGGAGGTCGAGACCATCATGGCCAATATGGTGAAACTCCGTCTCTGCTAAAAATACAAAAATTATCTGGGCATGGTGGCAGGCATTTGTAGTCCCAGCTGCTAGGGAGGCTGAGGCAGGAGAATCGCTTGAACTTGGGAAGTGGAGGTTGGAGTGAGCCAAGATTATGCCACTGCACTCCAACCTGGGCTACAGAGCCAGAATCCACTTCAAAAAAAAGAAAAAAAAAAGGAATAGATGAACACTTGACTAAAAATAGTTTATGATGTAATCTTTATTCTCCATATGACTTTCATAAGACAGGGGAGAGAGCACACCACTAGATTTTTGAGAAACGTGCATGTATTTGGTCATGCCACAAATGATTAATTTGAAGATCTTTACCATTACAGCAACATTTTGAATATTTCCATTTTTATCTGCTCTATGACCTAGACTTTTTAGCTGATAGACTGATGTGCTGTTGTGGCTATCCCAAATGCCAAAAAAAAAAAAAAAAAAAAAAAAAGATTGGTTTTTAAATGATAGAATCTGAAAAATTACATTTTTGAAATGCTTACTGAAATATTTTAAGTACATATTTTATGAAACGACATTTTTATTCGATCATACCATATTAATAAATAGGAATTTAATTTACCTGCAGCCCTAGATTTGAGAATTTTATTTTCCTATGGGGGCGTGAAAGTTACCAATATCAAAATGAAGTCATTAATGTGAAACTCTAACAAATTAGAGCCGGCCGACCATGCAGGAGGAGCCCTCTTACATGTGTATGTATGACGGGAACTATGTAAGGAATTCCTCAAAACTGCTGTGTTCCAGGTAAGGCACTTGCACAGTGGCACGTGCCTACAAATGCTATCTCCACCAATGAGCTAATGCTAACTCCTACAACAAGCTCCTGTAACCAAAGCTCTCTGTTTTATTTGGTTCTCGTTTTAAGTTGTACACATTTATGGGGCGCATGTGCAATTCTGTTCCATGCATAGATTGCGTAGTGGTCGAGTCAGGGCTTTTAGGGTATCCATCACCTGAATAATCTACATTGTACCCATTAACCAGTTCCAAGATCTTTGTTTCAAAAAAAGCTTACATGGACTTCTTGTCTTTCATAGATGCTCCTGTGCCCTACCCTCTCGAATGCCCTCATGGTCTGCCACAGCACTGGTATCCCAGATTGCAGTTCCTGAATAAGCTCTTTGCTTTGGAAAGTCAGTCTTTCTGTGGCTCATTTTAGGTTGACAGGAGCTCACAATAAACTTAATTTTGGTCCTTTGTAAAAGGAGACAAGTGAGTCTCCTGGCAGTCTAAAAGAATGTAGGTGAAGAAAACACGACTCACAGTCTGGGTCAACGTGTATCATAAGCAACAAAACCCCTACTTGTTTTTCTACAGGTGCAAGAGTATTTGAGTGTGAGCTACGACAAAGCATTCCATACACTGCCACTGTGGCTTTTAGAATTCATTCTGCAGTTTAAAAATTAATGGGGAATCTGGCAGTCTGAAAGGAGCAGAATAAAATCAAAGTCACTGCTCACTCAATGTTTAAAACTCAAGCAGTTGGAACAGTTTTCACACCTTTCTTATGTGCAGGCCAGCTGGGGAAATCCAGGAATCCACCCAACGTAAGTGAAATGGCATTTTCTGTGACTTACTTACTAGATACTTGTCACAGTGGGCCTAAAGCTTAATCACAGACTACAGGAAATGGTTTCCATCTGAGTCCTTTATTTTGCAAGAGATTCCCAGAAAATTGCTGAAGGATTCTCTTGTAAAAACTTACTTCCTGACGCTGGACACACTGTGTGTCCAGGACATCTTTGCAATGCCCATCATGGACATGGCTGGCCCTATTCCTTGTATAAAATGGACAGATTAACCTCAGGATAGAAGCAATAAAACTGAGATGTGCTTTCTGCATTTGTAAAAGTAGATAATGTAGTGGAGGAGAAATTGACACCTCTCCACCCTCCTAGGTTCTTTGGCTGAGCAACAAATTACATGAATACTAAGATTAATACGAGACAAATAATTTTAATTACATACTAAGCATGAGAGTCCCATAAACAGGAGACTCAAAGCAGTGCCAAATGGTTGAGCTTCCCGAGCGCTATGGAAAGGAATCAGGGCTTGTATCTGCATAACAAGAAAACCTCAGAGATGGTGGGGAGAAGTCACAGGAGGATGAGGGGAGGAAGGTATGGAGAACGGGGGTTTTCTTGTTATGCAGATAAAAGTCCTGCAGATGAGAAAGGCTGTCTTAGAGCAGCTTTCTTCCTGGTGTGGGCACGTTTGCTAACGAACATTTCCTTTTTTATACCTTATTTTCTGCAGTGGAGAAGGATGTGAGGAGCTTTCCCTGTGTTGGCTCGTTCTCAAATTCTTCAAAGTAATCAATATGCTAGGGTGGTACGTTGAGGGGTGATGTATTCTGGTCTCCTGTAGTCCTGTTTTTGGGTTTATGCCCTAAACCCTAATAATAATAAGGCTGACAATACATTTTGTACCATGGGAAAGGTGAACATTTGATGTGACCGACCTCCCTCCAATTTGGTTCCCATTGGTTGCTGTGGTAATCCATCCTGAGAAACTGGCTCCCCTGATTCCTGGACGATGGTGCTGGTGAGGGTGCCTTGGTGATGGTGGCACTAGGAGTGGGTTGGCAGTGACAGCTACTCACTGTTCCTAAATATTTATTAAGAATCCAAACTGCACTGGGCCCTTCATGAGCAGGAACAATTTTAGTCCACTCAGCTGTGGTATGAGCTCAGTATTTTTGTTTTCATCATTGAGAAAGATTCATCCCAACTAATTCCAGATACCATTTTCTTTCCAATGTTCGTCTGATTTCACATTTATTCATCACTTACCCCTGACATTTAACTAAAGCCCAGTATGAGAGGTTAGACAATTCAAGCAAAATCACACTTACTTGTCACATCCAGCTTATCTCCAAGAAGACTGAAAATCTTCCCCACTTCTTGTCACTGTCCTCATTAGTAAGAGGAAATATACAACATCTGAAAAACAACACTGTATGAAGTCCAGTAATATATCTTTACAGTGTACTAAGAAAGGAAAAGAATGAATATACAAAGGGAATATGTAAAAGCAAGAATTTCGCTTTTCTAAAATGCTCTCTTGAGTAGAGGAAAGCAGTGTCTACTCTCATTGTGTGGCCGTGTTTGCATTTTTCGTCTTCATCTCTCAGTTTTATAGTTTAGCGACGGAATCGTGTCCTATAATTAGCATTAACTTAGGGACGGGATAACCTTCAGTGCTCCAAATATTGTTCTGCAATTTCTGTAAATGGTAAGATGTCTTGCAAATGTTTAAGGTTCATGGTTCAGAAATACTATTTAGTACCCCAGACATGTATTTACTCATAAACATGCCTGCACGTAAGATCATATTTCCAGGGCTCACAGGACTGATGTGGCTTTTCAATTTATATAGGAACAGTGACTGAAATCCTCTTAATTAAATGCCAGATAGAAGACCAGAATATCTAGGTAGCTATTTTAATTTCATTTCAGACAAAATGCCACAAAGTTTCAAACCGTAACATTTTCAACTCCAGATCAGGCAGGGAAACTGCCAGCTTCTTGGTGACAAAGAGTGCTCCTGCCAGCTTTCTGGTTTGTCTCCGGAACCAGATTCAGGGGCAACTTTGCATTTGACAAAATTCCCGAATTCCTTCGGGCTGTTGTGTGGGTGAATACTCTGACAACCTGAGACACCCATTTCCATGTGATGGATTTTCAAAGTTAAGCCTTCTATGAAAAGAATGATAATCAATTTCTTGTCAATTAATTTAGAGAGTATGGCATAAGATAATATGGTACATTTTGGAAAGGCTATTTTTAGACTAGTATGCCTCTCACTGAAAGGGAGGGGCTTTTTTTTTTTTTAAGTATGAGCAAACTGTTACTGCTTCTGTTATCAAATCAAGCTACTTAATTTAGAAAATGACCCTCTAAGACGACAGAAACTAACGTAAGAAACAAAGCCAAACAAACGCAAGAACAATCGGCATCATATGTCTCTTTTAGGATAAACAGCTTAATGAATAGCACAGCAAACGAATTCAGAAAGACCATGTATGCCAAACAGTGCCAGCCAGCACTGCGGGCAGCACAGATCAGTGAAAAGAAGCAGGAAAAGAAACAGAGAATCGGAGCCAGGGAGATCTGGGTTCAACGCTTCAGTCCCTGTTCCAACACTTACTAACTAGGTGATTTTGAACGAGTAATTTAACTTTTTCATACATCAGTTCCCTCATGTGTTAAGTAATATACCATCATTAGCTTTCTATTCTGACAGTGGGAATTAAATTACTGTTCAAATTCTCTGGCTCATTCTCTCCTGTCACTAAACCTGGTCATTTCCATAATATGTACAAATAACTCGCTAACTTAAGTAAGCAGCAAAGGGGACTGGAATTGTTTTTATCTCATGTCGTAGCTGAACTGATGCCTCACAGACCAACACACTTTGGAAATGAAATTATTTTCTGGGAGACAGCAGTGAGGTTCATTCTTTCAAAAGGGTTTTGGATGCATACAATTGTTGAGGCTCAGAACACGACACCCCGAAGGACGATGCCTTGGCGTTGCTGCACACCATAAGCTGAAGGAGACTGGAAAGGCTGCAGAGCACGGTCTCCCGGGCCTTCCCCGTCCTGTCGTCTCTCTCTCCTCCTTCTACCCACAAAAGAGAGGTAGAAACCAGAACTTCTCTTTCTCAAGGTGGGGGTTTTGCCGTTAAAAGTCATGGCCAAAACTGCAATTACTTTTGCAACAACCTAATATTAAACTTCTCTCCCCACAGCAAGCCGAAAAACCTAGAAAGATCCCTCTCTCCCTTCTCCCTCCAGACACTCATTCCAGAGGAGTCTTGCCGCCTACTCAGAGGTGGGTGAAGAATGCTATGGAGAGAGGCCAAGAAGGATCTGGAGTGGGCTTGCTGAGTTTCTGCTCAATCTATTATCATTAGCTAATAACCTTTTCTCCAACGTTAGATTTTAAGTTAGACTTTAACGTTTCTTCCTCGTGGCTGTCCTTTCTTCATCAAACCTAAACATGCAAATAGACAATTTTCCCTGGGTCTTTGGGTCTTTATTTCCAAAGGCTCCCATATCATTTAAAACTTGGATTAAATAAATGTGTTATGCTTTTCTCCGGTACACCTGCCTCTCTTTATAGGAGTGTCGGTCTTGAACCTTATGATGAGTGAGGAAAGGGAACTCTGTGGATCAAATTCATGTCTTGTTCACCTCAGTGTTCATACCCAGTACTTTGTATATCAGATGATTAGTAAATATATGAATTACAGTGACCTTGATAAGCTTGATATATTGTGGCTGTATTTATACTTCTACTAAAGAACTATTGTGGCCAAAGATATTTTCAGGATCCACCTAAAGGGGAATTGAGTTGAGAACACATTCATTCTGATTATGTGATTTGTAGTCATTTCTGTGAATAACTGATCCAAAATATAAACGGTTCCCAGCAATATTTTTCTAGTCTGTATTTGTAACTTACACTATTTTGATGAATTTTCAGGGCCCAAAGTTCAGTCTCTATATAAAAATGACCTGTAGTAACCTGGCATTGTAAATACAGAGGCAGTAGATAAAAAACAAAGTTCAAACTGTGTACGTCCAGCAGGTAGACATGGAAAACTCTTCCAGTTATTGGCTGTGTCACACATTTCTTTAATATACTTGCTGCCTCAGTAACCATTTTTAGTAACCATTTATTTTTCAAACATAAGTTGTTTGAAATCCAGTTGTAACCTGTCACCTTTGGTCTAGTTGAAACTTCCTTTCTCCATGTGGTTGGTGGAGACATCACCTACTTGTTCCTGAAACCACTACCCAAAGTCCACAAACACCCCTTAGCTGCTAACCATGATAAACACCTAATATTTAACACCAGACTCATGTCGGTAAGTTTCCCTCTTTGCTTGTTTTTGTTCAACTGAGCCAATCCACAGACCCCTTGAGAAAGGTGAAGATAACACCCACGGACCTTAGTTAAGACGCAGAGTTCCATGGGTCCTCTCTCTTCCCCTTGCTCCCCTCCCCACTGGCTGAGCTTCCCACAGCCTTCTGGATTTCCATTGCCCTCCCATCAGCACCAGTGATCTCCTAGGATCTAGAAGTCATCATGTTCTTCTATTTCATGCATTTGGGGTCCACCTTGTCCATTTGTCTCACCTCATACACACACACAAACCTAACTGCCCCCCGACCCCCTGGATCAGGCCTCTCCCAGAGGGTGGCTGTCTTGGCCCATGGACACTCTTGACACAGACCTCAGGACTGAAAGAGGAACCATAAAAATTACAATATGATGGGTTTAAAAAAATAGGCAGAATATCCAGTTCTAGTCAAAAGCAAAGTTGACTCCTGGATGGAAATATTTAGTAATTCAGTATACCCATGACGCATGCAGGTGGCTGATTGGATAACTAGCCCCATTCCTCCACAGCTCTCTGCACCCACACACTTGCTTTGCTCTCCTTACAGGTAAATCACCCTTCTCTGTTCCTCACTCTGCTCATCCTTGTGCCTTACTATGGCCAAAGGAATGAAGAAGGGATGTCGATATGCTGATGCAGGGTGTGAACCCTTCAGAGGCCACACGTGGCTCCACTCAGTTCTCTCTGCCGCGTCTGTGAGCGCAATATGCCCTGCTAAACTTACGGTCCAAAGAGAACAAGAACAGCATGCAGCAGAGACCCCAGGTGACCCACAGAACCTCAGTGACAAGCAGAGTTGCCCCAGCCATCTAGCGGAGCCTACCCAAGAGAGCCAAATGCCGGCTAGCCTGGAGATACATGGCAATGGACACTTTTTATCTAAACTTCTGAGTTTGGCATAGCTCTACCATGCAGTAGTAGTATGGCAGGAGCTAAACTACCAAATAACCACTCATTTTTTGATAGGAAGTAAATGATATACAATTTATCAGCATTGAAGTGTCTGAGAACAATCTCCTCGAACTAAGCGGTACTAGGTGTAACGTTGCACGTTTCATGCACCTAAGCTTCTATAAGACATTTTGACCAGTAATAATAGAGGCTAAATAATCTTTCCAGTTTTCTAAACACAATACAACAAAATCAATCCTATGTGTACACTTAACAGAGACTGTAACAATATGGAAAAAAATATTATTAGCGTGCACCAGGAATTTTATTTTATTTATATTTGTGTGTGTATTTTATTTATGGAAGTGTCAACTTCTTCACATTTACATTTTTTTGAGATTTTTAAGTGCTTTAATGAGGTGTAATTGCCATAAAATAAACTGCACAGGTTTGAAGTGCATAATTGGTAGGTTTTGATGTGTGTATACACCTGTGAAACCGTCACTGCAATCCAAATACTGAACCTATCCATCACGTCAAAGTTTCCTCACATGTCTTTGCTGCCTGGACTTGCATTCTTGCCTGTCCGTGACCCCACAGTTAGCAACCACTGTCTGCTTTCATGATAGGTTAGCTCGTACCTTCTACATTTTTATACAGAGTAATCCACCTGGTTTGTTTGTACAGCTTGTTCTAACGAGCATGCCTATTTTGACATTCATCCCTCTTCCTGTAGCCCTGCTTCCTTTCTTTTTCATCTTAGTCATGCTCCATTCACTCACCTTTTGATGAACATTTGGGTTTTTTCCAGCCTTTGTGTGTTACGAATAAAACTACTGTGCACATTTGTGGACAAGTCTTTAAATGGGGACATGCTTTTATTTGTCTTGGGTAAACACCTGAGAGTGAAATAAACGGGGATATGGCAAATGTCTAACTTTTTAAGAAATGCATGATCTGTTTTCCAAAATGATGGTATAATTTTACATTCCTATCAACATTGTAGGAAAGTTCTAGCTCCCACACATCCCTGTCCACATCTGGCATGAGCAGTCTTTTTTTTCTTTATTCATTCTATTCCTATTCTTCTTTTGTTTTGTTTGAGACAGAATCTGGCTTTGTCACCCAGGCTGGAGTGCAGTGGCTCAACCTCTGCTCACTGCAACCTATGCTTCCCGGGTTGAAGCAATGCTCCTACCTCAGCCTCCTGAGTAGCTGGGACTACAGGCTCGTGCCACCACGCCCGGCTATCTGTACTTATTCTAATAGGTGGGTAGTGGTTCTAATTGTGATTTTATTGATTCTATTTATTCTAATAGGTAGGTAGTGGTTTCTCATTGTGATTTGAATTTGCATTAACCATAAATGACTAAAAGTTGACTACGTTTCATTAACTAAATTACTATCTAGATATCATCTTAGATGAAGTGTCTGTTGCAATGTTTCGATCATTGTTATATAGAGTGGTTTTTAAATTGAGTTTTGATCATGCTTTATATATTTTGGATAAAAGTTCTTTATCAGGTATTTGATTCTCAAGCATTTCCTGTCAGTCCTTGGTTTGCCTTTTCAATTCCCAGAAGTGTCTTATTAAGAGCAGAAATTTTAATTTTGATAAAGTTCAAAGTATCGATTTGCTCTTTTAGGGATTCTTCTTTTGGTGTTGTATCTATAAAATTTTTTTTCTAAACGGTAGTCACAAAGTTTTTCTTCTGTTTTCTTCTAGAAGTTTCATAGTTTACATCGGATATATTTTGAGTTAGTGTTTATATGTGCTATGAGGGATGGAGTTAAGGGTATATTTCTTTCCTTTTGTATCTTAGAATGATTTATTTATTTATTTATTTTACAAAATGACTATTAAATTTTTATTAAAAATCATTTGGCCATATACATGTAAGTGTTTATCTAGAATCATCGTTTTTTTTTTGTTGTTGTTGTTGTTTGCTTTTATGTTTTTGGCTTTTTTTTTTTTTTTTTTTTGAGACAAAGTCTCACTCTGTCACCAGGCTGGAGCTGGAGTGCAGTGGCGCGATCTCGGCTCACTTCAACATCCACCTCCTGGGTTCAAGTGATCCTCCTGCCTCAGCCTCCTGAGTAGCTGGGACTACAGGCATGCACCACCACGCCCAGCTAAGTTTTGTATTTTTCGTAGAGACTGGGTTTCACCATGTTGGCCATGATGATCTCCATCTCTTGACCTTTTGATCCATCTGCCTCAGCCTCCCAAAGTGTTGGGAGTACAGGCGTGAGCCACCACGCCTGGCCATCATTGTTTTATTCTAATTATATGTTTGTTCATCTTGGTGCTAATACTAACCTGTTAGATTATTATAGCTTTATAATAAGTCTGACAGTCAGATAGTGTAAGTCTTCCAACTTTGTTCCCATTTCTATTTGACTCCTTTCTATTTATTTCAAATGTACGGTTGAACACTATTTTCATTACTAAAAAGAACATTTTATGGATTGTCTGTTTATATTATACTCTTTGAACCATCTCTCTATCTGCTTACCCATGTGCACTTAAAGAACCTCTTTTAGCATTGATCCCTAGGGAAAGGTAATTCAAGTATTTCTATAATCATTTACTACTACTCTTGAACTCCTGACCTCAAGTGATCCTCCTGCCCTGGCTTCCCAAAGTGCTGGGATTACAGGCATGAGCCATTGCACCCAGCCCAACTTTGAGTTTTCTTGTGATAAAATTTCTAAGAAATGAAAAATCAAAATAGAAAAAAAAAAGGAAAATTCATTTACTAGTCCTATAATATATTTAAATTTTCTATTTCCAAAATTAAAGAGTTTGCAAAGAGTATGTTGACATCAAAGTATACATCAATATAGGTAGGCCAGTTCTTATCATCTCATTTCTGCAAGAGAAAGTAAAGTGCAGAGAAGTGACTTTCTCAATGTCACATGTTCTCTGATTCCTAGACCCCAAAAAATGGGTATATATGTAGGTAAATTTAGGAAGTCAGCATAAATGTACCAGAATCAGATTTGCTAAAGTAACTTTAGAAAGATGGCATTTTAAGGGTCAGTGATGTGGCTCCAATACGTCCTCTAAATTTCAAGTGTTGGAAACTTATTCCTCAAATGTATATGTTGATTGGAGCTGAGTCCTTTGGGAGGAAATAGGACTAGATAAGGTCATCAGGTGGGACCTCCACGAGGGGACTAGTATCTTTAGAAGAAGATCAATGGGGACCTGGGCTGATGTGCACGCTCTTGCCCTGACGCCATGTCCATCGACTTCCTGTTCTCCAAAGCTGTGAGCCACATAAACTACTTTTCCTTACAAGTTTCCGAGTCTCAGAAATTCTTTCATATCAGTAGAAAACAATGGACAAAGACAAAAAATTTGCACCCAGAGCAAGGTTGTTATAACAATTACCTAAAATTGTGGAAGCAGCTTTGTAACTGGATAATGTGCAGGAGCAGGCTAGAACAAGCCTAGAATGCTGCAAATGGAGTGTGAAGGGCAATTCTCATGGCTCAGAAGAAAAGATATGGGAAAGTCTGCAACTACTTACAAATCACTTAAGTGGTTGTGATCAGAATGCTGGCAGAAATAAGGAGTAAAGATGATTATGATGAGGCCTCGGATGAGCATGAGGAAGGAGGTGTTGGAAACTAAAGGTCATCCTTGTTATATCATAGCAAAAAACACGGCTGAATTATCCCCATGCCCTAAAGTTTCATAAAATGCAGAAATTAAAAACAATAAACTAGGATACTAGGTAGAAGAAATCGCTAAGGAGCAAAACTTAGAGTGGCTGCATGGCTACTTTTAACTGCTTACCGTAAAATATGAGAGAAGAGAGATGATTTAAAGACAGAATTTTTAATTAAAAATGTAGCAGATCTGAAAGATTTGGAAAATTCACAGCTTGGCCATTTGGTAAAGAATGAAAAAACATATTAAGGAGAGGAAACCAAGGGTGTATCCCAGAAACTGTTTGCTAAAGGGTTTAGTGCTAATAGAAGGGATTATCAAGACAATGGCAAAAAGACTTAGAAGGGATTTCAGAGATCTTTGAGAGTTCCTTCTTAGGCCCAGAGCTCTAGAAGGTCAGAATGGTTTTGGAGGACAGGCCTAGGCCCTCCCTGGGCTCACTGCCCAGGGCCACCTCAGGTCTTTGTTCCCTAAATTTTAGCACAGTGCTTCTAGATTGCCCCAACTGTGGCTTGATTCTGGAAGATACAAGCCATAAGCCTTGGCAGTGTCCAAGTGGCACTAATTCTATAGGCTTGCAGAATGCAAGAGCTATGGAGGCATTTCTTCCTCACCTAGACGTCAAAGGATGTTGAGGACAGACTGGGGTCCCAGGCAGAGACTTGTTTCAGGCATCACAGAGAACCCTACTAGGGCAACACTGAGTGTATGTGGCGTCAAAGCTGTCACAAAGAGTTCCTACCAAGGCAATGCCTACTGCAGCCTTGGCAGCAGGATCACCAATGAGACTTCAGAACTGCAAAGCTACCAGTAGGTTATGCCATCCTAGGAGTGCTGAAGCGTGGGCTCAGCCCAGAAAAGACACGGGGAGTGGGCTTCCAAAGGCCTTGGGGGCTCAACATTCACTCTGGTGTGTCTGGGAGGCAGCATGCACAGTGAAAAATCATTCTGAAGTTTTGAGATTTAATGTTTTCCTTTTTGGATTCTGGTCTTCCTTGAGACAAGTTCTTTTTCTATTTTCTCTTTCCCCATTTCGGAATAGAAATATATATCCTCTGTCTGTCCCACTATTGTATTTTGAAAGTACATAATTTGTTTGATTTCACAGGCTCACGGCTGGAGGAAATTTGCCTTAGGATAAATTGTGCCCTGTGTCTCACCCATGTCTGATTAAGATGGGACTCAGGACTTTGGACCTTAAGTTGCTGCCAAATGAGTTAAGACTTTGGGGCCACTGGAAAGGAATAAATGTATCTTGCATATGAGAATAATGTTAATTTAGGGGGCTGGAGTGGAATGTTATATCCCCCAAATTTCATGTGTTGAAAACTTTATCTCCAAATTCATATGTTGTTTGGAAATAGGATTTTCGGGATAAGATAAAGTCATCAGGATGGCGCCCTGATGATTGGACTGGTGGCTTTATAAGAAGGGGAAGAGAGACCCAAGCTGACACACATGCTTTTCTCCTCTAACTATGTAATACCCTTTGGCATGTTTCGACACAGTGAAAAAAGCCCTCCCTGGAAGCTGCTACCATGCCCTTGAGCGTCCCAGCCTCCAGAACCACAGGCCAAGTAATTTATTTTCTTTATAAATTACCCAGTCTCAAGTATACTTTATAGCAACATAAAGTGGACTGAGACAGTAAGACTTGAAGACATTCTGATATTATTTATTTGTATGGAATGTGCTACTCAAATGAGATTAATTGGGTAGCTTCCCATTTGATCTTGGCTCTAGAAAGATGTCTTTATTCTGTGGCAAATCTTTGTCTATTATGAACCCGGTTGCATTTGTCTCTCAAGGTGTATGGTTTGACTGGCATCCATCTACAAGTCAAATTCCTTTTAGTCTATGCCCATTTAGCAATCTTCTGCTTTAAAATTGCAGCTGGGTAAAGAATGCACTGATAGACTTCTGGTCCACATAAAAATCAATAAACTTTTGTATATAGGAATCTCTTGAGAGTCTAGTTAATGACAGTCATTGTTACCAAAATGAGGAGTCATCCTCAGTGCTTACTACAATCTGTTTTCTAAACCTATATGTTTAAACTTCAGACCCAAGACTTGCTGAATACACCAATACATATTTAACTTTGTGAGGTTTTTTTTTTTTTTTTTTTTTTGACTTTAGTGTTCCCGGACTTTCTTGTACGAAATAGGGCTTATCAAAGCTTGAACTATAATTTCCAGTAGTTTTTACTGTGGATTTTTCAATCTGAGGACTGGCTACTGCCATTGCCTGTTGGTTGTGAAGATCCTTCACAATGAGATTACTACTACACCTGGGTACTTCATAAAAAAAAGATAAAACTGATTTCCCTGCCCTTATTTCAGAGAAAAAGCGATGGAAGTAAGGGAGAGGAACCAGAAGCAATTTCAGGATAAAGAAATGAAGATGCTAAATCCAATCCAATTAATTCCTTGAAGAAGTAATGTCAAACATCAATCCAAGTTCAATCCCAAGACTCAGAAGTAGTTGATTTTAAATAAAGCACTGCTAAAGATGTTTAAGAGCATAAAGTTTTATGATTTTGAAAGTAATTTTCTCTGACAGTATTTGAATTTTACTAAAAATGAAAACCAAATGTGACTATTTCTAATATGACAAAAATATATGGATTTGTACAGTTGCTCAGAATAGAATATGCCATTTGTTTGTAAAATGAATACGAAATTATAAGCCTGCTTTCCAGTAAATGTAGGTTATGCTCCAAAACCACTTCAAAATGGGCTAAGCCTTCAGGATTCCACTTCAAAAAAATCATATAATTAATGGAGAAATTATTTTACTGTATTAGGAGAACAGGAAGCTAACGTTTTAATACCAATATGTTTTTATTAGTAAAGAAGGTATTTATTCAAAAGAGAGAGACAACTATGACATAATGTCCCCAATTTTATTATTTTTGAATTCAGAAAAAATGCTTACCATTAAAATTTAATTAATAAGTACACATATGTCTATTTGCTTTCATCATTACTCAAGTATTAAATGTGAAATTGAATAAAACATTTCCTACATTTTATTTAAGAAACCCGAAATTTTAGTAGAAATGTAAAAATGTAAATAGCTTTCAGGTAAAAAGCATTTGTATTAGTATTTCAGAAACATAGCTTTAAAGTTGAAAGCTTAACATCTGTTTAATTTATAACTACAAATAAAATAAATGCAGTATAAAAATCATAATGTTTGGTGCTGATCTTAACTAAATATTGACTTCAAACATGAGTTATGTTAAAATATGAACATACTGAAAACTTTGTTATTACATGCTAATTTTTCTCCAGTAAAGCAAAAACGTTGTATTAACCTATTTTGAGATAATTGTAGATTTACATGCCGTTTTTAGAAATAAGAAAGATATTTATTTTAACAAAATGTTAACATCTTGTAGTATGATAGTGCAATATGATGAGGATACTGACATCAGCTGAGGGACAAAGCATTCCTGTCACCACGAGAACTTCCCAGCTTGTTCTTTTAAAAGAACATCCATTTCCCTCCTACTCATCTCTCTCCATCCCCCATTTTTTCATTCCAGTAACCGCTTATCTATTCTCCATTTTTATAATTTTGCCATTTCTAGGCTGCTATGTAAATAGCTTTATACAGTGTGTAACTTCTTGAGACTGGCTTTTTCACAAAAGATACTTCTCTGGAAAGTAATCCCAGTTGTTGTGAGCTTCAGTAGCTCCCGCTGTATTCACAGGCTGTCCACATAATGATTAACCATTTCACTGTAGAAGAACATCTGGGCTGTTTATAGAGTGGGCTATCATGGGTAAAGCTGCTACAAAAATGTATGTACAGATTTTCATTTCTCTGAAATAAATGCTCCAATGTGCAATGGCTGTGTCATGTGGTACTTGCGTGTATGACTTTTCCAAAACCTGCCAACCTGTTTTCCAGAGAACGCCTACCATGTTACATTCTATTCCATTCCCAGTAGCATTGTGTGAGTGATGCAGGTTCTCTGACTTTCATGTCACTATTTTTTTTTTCTTTTTGAAACAGAGTCTTGCTCTGTTGCTTTAGTTGGAGTGCAGCGACATGATTTCAGATCACTGCAACCTCTACCTCCCGGGCTCAAGTGATTCTCATGCTTCAGCCTCCCAAGTAGCTGGGATTACAGGTGTGCACCACCATGCCTGGCTAATTTTTGTATTTTTAATACAAATAGGGTTTCACCATGATGCCCAGGGTGGTCTCGAGCTCCTGACCTCAGGTGATCTGCCCGCCTTGGCCTCCCAAAGTACTAGGATCACAGGCATGAGCCACTGTGCCTGGCCTTTTTTAAACTGTAGCCATTCTTATAGGTATGTAGTGCTATCTGATTTAGGTTTTAATTTTCATGGTTCAAATGGCTAATGATGTTGAATATCATTGTACATGCTTATTCACAGTTTGCATGTCCTCTTCATTTATATGCTGTTTTGAGTCTTTGATGGGGTTCAGGACAGAATACCCCAAAATACGGCACCTTGGCCTTTGTGAAAACAGCAGAAACAGGAAAGTCTCAATATTCTCCCCTGAAGCAGGACATAAAAGGATTCTCTGAACTTCCTTTTTGAATTAGCTCATAAAACCTTCATTCCAGAACTTCCCTCCTTACACCTTGAAAAAAGGAACTTTTTTTTTTTTTTTTCTGATATGGTGTCTCTCACTCTGTCACCCAGGCTGGAGCGCGATGGTGCGATCTTGGCTTACTGCAACCTTTGCCTCCCAGGTTCAAGTAATTCTCCTGCCTCAGCCTCCCAAGTAGCTGGGATTACAGACACCCACCAGCATGCCTAGCTGATTTTTGTATTTTTAGTGGAGACAGAGTTTCACCATGTTGGCCAAGCTGGTCTCAAACTCCTGACCTCAAGTGATCTGCCCGCCTTGGCCTCTCAAACTCCTGGGATTACGGGCATGAGCCACCATACTCAGCCAGAAAGGAACCTTCTTATCCTTAAAGACATAGAGATACCAAGAAGAATCTGAGCAAGTAGACCTTGCTAAGTTCCCCCCAGTTTATTACCATTGAATTATATCCCCTTTAGCCAATCATGTTTCTACACAACTATCCACTAATCATCAAGCCTTGCATAAAAATGTGCAGGTTTTTCCTGTTTCTTTAAGTATTCATTTCTAACGTCATCGATGTCAGGTAAAACTTAAATAAATTTGTAGGCTTTTCTCTTGTTAATCTATCTTTTGTGTAGAAGTCTTATCCATAAACCTTGCAATGGGTGAAGAAAAAAATATTACTTCTTCTCCCCAGTAGTTTCGGGGACTCTAGATGGGACAACTGAGATACCCCACCCACTCTGGAGCATGCTAATGAGATCCTTAGATAACTGATGAGAAATGCATTGCTACAGTTTGAATGTTGGTCCCCTCTGAAACTCATGTGAAACTTAATCTCTAATGTGGCAAAACTAAGAGGTAGGGCCTTTAAGAGGCAACTGGGTCATGAAGGCTCTGCCCTCCTGTATAGATTAATTTATTCATGGGTTGGTGGGTTAATGGATGAATGGGTCATCATTGCAGCAAGACTGGTGGGTTTATAAGAAGAGACAGAGACCTAAGCTACTGCAGTCAGCCCTTTACTATGTGCTACCCTGAGCTTCCTCAGGACTCTGCTGAGAGTCCCCATCAGCAAGAAGGTCCTCTCCAGATACTGCCCCTCAACCCTGGACTTCTCAGCCTCTATAACTGTAAGAAATACATTTCATTTCTTTATAGATTACCCAGTTTCAGCTATTATGTCACAAGCAAAAGAAAATGAACTAAGACACTTATCAAAGGTAAACATTTTTACCAAGATCAGCTCTCCAAGATCTCTGTCTGTAGTGCCCAATTGAGAGAAGAAACTAAAATCTTCTCCTTTTCCCTTTCATTCTAAATTCAGATTAACAGGAGAAAACCATGTGTTTCTACTGTTACTCTTGCATAATTCTGGTTTGGGGATATCTATTCGTTATTAATCTTTTCCCTCCCAGGGACAGCAATTGCTCCCATCTGTCTTGTTATATGTCCTGAAAACTTGGCTTGGCTTTTCACTTTTTGGGGTGCTTAAGTTGTCAGCTTTTTGTGTGTAGGCAGCAGACTTCAGGTTGGAAGGCCCTGAGAATGTGGCTAGGGAGAAATGTGAGTGGCACCCCACTTGCAGCAAACAGACTGAGTATTTCCAGCTCTCAGGGTGTGGTTCTGTGTCTTTTATTCTCTTGGATGTCCTTGATAGTGGTGGTGTATCTTGGGAGAGCTGCAGTTTTTAGCATCTTTTTTGAGTAAAACTCTTTGGTCGATATTTAAGTCATAAAAGGTTTTTTGGTGTTGGTTATGAAATACTTGATAGAAATCTTTGGTTTAAAAGAAGACGAAAAAAGAAGAAATTTAATACTTCAGGAATATTTGCTGTTTGTCCTAGTTGAAACCTGGCAATAAGATATTTAAAATAACTTTTTAAGAGCTCTATAGTTACAAGTCATTTTAAATAGAAGCTGATATTTTTAAGTACTCTATGATTCTTTCTATTAGATTCTGCTTTTCACATTAGACCTTCTCAGTCAACTGGCATTCTTCTTTAGCCAGTGCTAACTCCATGCCACACCAACTCTGACCACATCTTTCTATTGGAACTTGAACTCTTGGGTTATGCTCTAAACTGGCTCCTCTAAGACCTCTTTTTTCTGTTTTCTTCTGGTCTAGCTTCCTTCTCTTGCCACCTCCAATCTTGCGTTCAGTTTCTTTAAGTCCTTGATATGTCCCCCTTCAAATCCCTACTTCCTCTATCTCTCTACCTCTGTCTGGCTTTCTTCTATTCCAGCCCTCCAGTCACTTGAACTTTGGCCCCTTGCTCTCAAGAGACTCCTGCTTCCCCAAAAGCAACTATGTGAGGCTGAAAAGAAAACGAAAAAGAAAGTTAATTAGAAATAGACTGAATAAGGGCAGCAATAGATGTTTTGTCACAATCTCCACAAGATTGGCCTCTGATAATAAGCAAATATATCACAAAACTCCTTCTAGGAGAAAACTTGGATTCATTTTCTGTATTTTTGAAATGGAAATTTTCTACTGCCTTCTCCAAAACCTGATAGTTGTCTTTTCAAAATACAAACTTCAAGGAGATTATCATCAGAAGGGAATGAAAAAGAAAAGTATTTGGAAACTGGGCAAATAAAAAATATTGTCTTTCCCACCCATATTAGTACAAAGCTTTAGCCATTTCAGTAGGTAAATCTTGTTTCATCTACCAGAAACACAATTCAGATCAGAATTTTTTTTTTATAAACCACTGAGTTTTGTCTTATCATACCTGGCACATGGATACCATTTTATAATAAATGCTATAACATTTTGCATCTATCTGCATCCTTATGTATGTTTATGTCTGCATGTACATCTGCATGTTATGTCTATGTGATTTTTTTTTTACTTCTAGATGATATTACCAGATTAATTTATAAAATCCCTTAAAAGAGATCTATTGCAATTGGCTCAGGGACAAATGAGTGCTTATATAATTTAAGTATTCCTAAAACTTTCAGAAAAATATAAACTAATCCAAAACTTCTTTTCAAGTTTATATGCTTAGGGGGTAAATCTTTAACAAATAAGATTACTTTAAAATTTTTGGTAAAGTTGAAAGAAAACTGTATTCAGAATGGTTAACATTAGGCCAGGTGCAGTGGCTTACACTTGTAATCCCAGCACTTTGGGAGGTCAAAGCAGGTGAATCACCTGAGGTCAGGAGTTCGAGACCTGCCTGGCCAACATGGCAAAACACCATCTCTACTAAAAATACAAAACTTAGTTGGGCATGTTGGCAGGCCCCTGTAATCCCAGCTACTTGGGAGCCTGAGGCAGGGAGAATTGCTTGAACCTGGGAGGCAGAGATTGCAGTGTCCCAAGATCACACCTCTGTACTCCAGCCTGGGTGACAGAGTTAGACTCCATCTCAAAAAAAAAAAAAAAAAAAAAAAAAAAGAGTGGTTGCCATTATATATAATGCAGACATTTTTCCCTCTAGGCTTAATAGTCAAACAAGATTGGAGATGTTTAAAATGATCAAACTGTAAATCCAGTTGAAGTGAAAAACGTACAAGTAAACTGAACTGCTGATGCATGACAATCTGGAAGAGAGAAAGACAGAACTATGTTTATCTTTCTTTAGTTTCTTTGCTTCTGTGATATTTTTAATATTTGCCTGATTCATCAACAAAAGAAATAACTTCAGATGTGCTTTATTTAATTTCTTATACAATGTTCACAGGCAGTTCAAATATAATTGTTAAGTATGAGTTAATTAAGTGAATGTAAGTGGGATAAAGTTTATAAAAAAAAATTTCAACACTACAAGTATCGGCTGGCAGCCAAGATGGCCGAATAGGAACAGCTCCGGTCTACAGCTCCCAGCGTGAGCGACGCAGAAGACGGGTGATTTCTGCATTTCCATCTGAGGTACTGGGTTCAACTCACTAGGGAGTGCCAGACAGTGGGTGCAGGACAGTTGGTGCAGCGCACTGTGTGTGAGCAGAAGTAGGGTGAGGCATGGCCTCACTCGGGAAGCACAAGGGGTCAGGGAGTTCCCTTTCCTAGTCAAAGAAAGGGGTGACAGACGGCACCCGGAAAAACAGGTCACTCCCACCATAATACTGCGCTTTTCCGACGGCGCACCAGGAGATTATATCTCGCACCTGGCTCGGAGGGTCCTACAACCACAGAGTCTCACTGATTGCTAGCACAGCAGTCTGAGATCAAACTGAAAGGTGGCAGCGAGTCTGGGGGAGGGGCGCCCGCCATTGCCCAGGCTTGCTTAGGTAAACAAAGCAGCAGGGAAGCTCGAACTGGTTGGAGCCCACCACAGCTCAAGGAGGCCTGCCTGCCTCTGTAGGCACCACCTCTGGGGGCAGGGCACAGACAAACAAAAAGACAGTAGTAACCTCTGCAGACTTAAATGTCCCTGTCTGACGGCTTTGAAGAGAACAGTGGTTCTCCCGGCATGCAGCTGGAGATCTGAGAACGGGCAGACTGCCTCCTCAAGTGGGTCCCTGACCCCTGACCCCCGAGCAGCCTAACTGGGAGGCACCCCCAAGTAGGGGCAGACTGACACCTCACATGGCTGGGTACTCCTCTGAGACAAAAATTCCAGAGTAACGATCAGACAGCAGCGTTCACGGTTCACGAAAATCCGCTCTTCTGCAGCCACTGCTGCTGACACCCAGGCAAACAGGGTCTGGAGTGGACCTCTGGCAAACTCCAACAGACTTGCAGCTGAGGGTCCTGTCTGTAAGAAGGAAAACTAACAAACAGAAAGGACATCCACACCGAAAACCCATCTGTACATCACCATCATCAAAGACCAAAGTAGATAAAACCACAAAGACGGGGAAAAAAACAGCAGAAAAACTGCAAACTCTAAAAAGCAGAGTGCCCCTCCTCCTCCAAAGGAATGCAGTTCCTCACCAGCAATGGAACAAAGCTGGATGGAGAATGACTTTCATGGGCTGAGAGAAGAAGGCTTCAGATGATCAAACTACTCCAAGCTACAGGAGGAAATTCAAACCAAAGGTAAAGAAGTTAAAAAATTTGAAAAAAATTTAGACGAATGTATAACTAGAATAATCAATAAAGAGAAGTGCTTAAAGGAACTGATGGAGCTGAAAGCCAAGGCTTGAGAACTACTTGAAGAATGCAGAAGCCTCAGGAGCCGATGCAATCTACTGGAAGAAAGGGTATCAGCAATGGAAGATGAAATGAATGAAATGAAGCGAGAAGGGAAGCTTAGAGAAAAAAGAATAAAAAGAAATGAACAAAGCCTCCAAGAAATATGGGACTATGTGAAAAGACCAAATCTATGTCTGACTGGTATACCTGAAAGTGATGAGGGGAATGGAACCAAGCTGGAAAAAACTCTGCAGGATATTATCCAGGAGAACTTCCCCAATCTAGCAAGTCAGGCCAACATTCAGATTCAGGAAATACAGAGAATGCCACAAAGATACTCCTCGAGAAGAGCAACTCCAAGACACATAATTGTCAGATTCACCAAAATTGAAATGATGGAAAAAATGTTAAGAGCAGCCAGAGAGAAAGGTCGGGTTACCCACAAAGGGAAGCCCATCAGACTAACAGCTGATCTCTTGGCAGAAACTCTAGGAGCCAGAAGAGAGTGGGGGCCAATATTCAACATTCTCAAAGAAAAGAATTTTCAACCCAGAGTTTCATATCCAGCCAAACTAAGCTTCATAAGTGAAGGAGAAATAAAATACTTTACAGACAAGCAAATGCTGAGACATTTTGTCACCACCAGTCCTGCCCTAAAAGAGCTCCTGAAGGAAGCACTAAACATGGAAAGGAACAACCGGTACCAGCCACTGCAAAATCATGCCAAAATGTAAAGACCATTGAGAATAGGAAGAAACTGCATCAACTAACGAGCAAAATAACCAGCTAACATCATAATGACAGGATCAAATTCACACATAACAATATTAACTTTAAATGTAAATGGACTAAATGCTCCAATTAAAAGACAGAGACTGGCAAATTCGATAAAGAGTCAAGAATCATCAGTGTGCTGTATTCAGGAAACCCATGTCACGTGCAGAGACACACATAGGCTCAAAATAAAAGGATGGAGGAAGATCTACCAAGCAAATGGAAAACAAAAAAGGCAAGGGTTGTAATCCTAGTCTCTGATAAAACAGACTTTAAACCAACAAAGATCAAAAGAGACAAAGAAGGCCATTACATGATGGTAAAGGGATCAATTCAACAATAAGAGCTACCTATCCTAAATATATATGCACCTAATAGAGGAGCATCCAGATTCATAAAGCAAGTACTGAGTTACCTACAAAGAGACTTAGAATCCCACACAATAATAATGGGAGACTTTAACACCCCACCGTCAACATTAGACAGATCAATGAGACAGAAAGTTAACAAGGATATCCAGGAATTGAACCCAGCTCTGCACCAAGCGGACCTAATAGACATCTACAGAACTCTCCCCCACAAATCAGCAGAATGTACATTTTTTTCAGCACCACACCACACCTATTCCAAAATTGACCACATACTTGGAAGTAAAGCTCTGCTCAGCAAATGTAAAAGAACAGAAATTATAACAAACTGTCTCTCAGACCACAGTGCAATCAAACTAGAACTCAGGATTAAGAAACTCACTCAAAACCGCTCAACTACATGGAAACTGAACAACCTGCTCCTGAATGACTATTGGGTACATAACGAAATGAAGGCCGAAATAAAGATGTTCTTTGAAACCAACGAGAACCAAGACACAACATGCCAGAATCTCTGGGACACATTCAAAGCAGTGCATAGAGGGAAACTTATAGCACTAAATGCTCACAAAAGAAAGCAGGAAAGATCCAAAATTGACACCCTAACATCACAATTAAAAGAACTAGAAAAGCAAGAGCAAACACATTCAAAAGCTAGCAGAAGGCAAGAAATAACTAAAATCAGAGCAGAACTGAAGGAAATAGAGACACAAAAAACCCTTCAAAAAATTAATGAATCCAGGAGCTGGTTTTTTGAAAGGATCCACAAAATTGATATACCACTAGCAAGACTAATAAAGAAGAAAAGAGAGAAGAATCAAATAGATGCAATAAAAAATGATAAAGGGGATATCACCACCGATCCCACAGATATACAAACTCCCATCAGAGAATACTACAAACACCTCTACACAAATAAACTAGAAAATCTAGAAGAAATGGATAAATTCCTCGACAAGTACACCATCCCAAGACTAAACCAGGAAGAAGTTGAATCTCTGAATAGACCAATAACAGGCTCTGAAATTGTGCCAATAATCAATAGCTTACCAACCAAAAAGAGTCCTGGACCAGATGGGTTCACAGCCGAATTCTACCAGAGGTACAAGGAGGAACTGGTACCATTCCTTCTGAAACAATTCCAATCAATAGAAAAATAGGGAATCTTTCCTAACTCATTTTATGAGGCCAGCATCATCCCAATACCAAAGCCGGGCAGAGACACAACCATAAAAGAGAATTTTAGACAAATATCCTTGATGAACATTGATGCAAAAATCCTCAATAAAATACTGGTAAACCACATCCAGCAGCACATCAAAAAATTTATCCAGCATGATCAAGTGGGCTTCATCCCTGGGTTGCAAGGCTGGTTCAATATACGGAAATCAATAAATGTAATCCAGCATATAAACAGAACCAAAGACAAAAACCACATGATTATCTCAATAGATGCAGAAAAGGCCTTTGACAAAATTCAACAACACTTCATGCTAAAAACTCTCAATAAATTAGGTATTGATGGGACGTATCACAAAATAATAAGAGCTATCTATGACAAACCCACAGCCAATATCATACTGAATGGGCAAAAACTGGAAGCATTCCCTTTGAAAACTGGCACAAGACAGGGATGCCCTCTCTCACCGCTCCTATTCAACATAGTGTTGGAAGTTCTGGCCTGGGCAATCAGGCAGGAGAAGGAAATAAAAGGTATTCAATTAGGAAAAGAGGAAGTCAGATTGTCCCTATTTGCAGATGACATGATTGTATATCTAGAAAACCCCATTGACTCAGCCCAAAATCTCCTTAAGCTGATAAGCAACTTCAGCAAAGTCTCAGCATACAAAATCAATGCACATAAATCAGAAGCATTCTTATACACCAATAACAGACAAACAGAGAGCCAAATCATGAGTGAACTTCCATTCACAATTGCTTCAAAGAGAGTAAAATACCTAGGAATCCAACTCACAAGGGATGTGAAGGACCTCTTCAAGGAGAACTACAAACCACTGCTCAAGGAAATAAAAGAGGATACAAACAAATGGAAGAATATTCCATGCTCATGGGTAGGAAGAATCAATATCGTGAAAATGGCCATACTGCCCAAGGTAATTTATACATTCAATGCCATCCCCATCAAGCTACCAATGACTTTCTTCACAGAATTGGAAAACATTACTTTAAAGTTCATATGGAACCAAAAAAGAGCCCGCATCGCCAAGTCAATCCTAAGCCAAAAGAACAAAGCTGGAGGCATCATGCTGACTTCAAACTATATTACAAGGCTACAGTAACCAAAACAGCATGGTACTGGTACCAAAACAGAGATATAGATCAATGGAACAGAACAGAGCCCTCAGAAATAACGCCGCATATCTACAACTATCTGATCTTTGACAAAACTGAGTAAAACAAGCAATGGGGAAAGGATTCCCTACTTAATAAATGGTGCTGGGAAAACTGGCTAGCCGTATGTAGAAACCTGTAACTGGATCCCTTCCTTACACCTTATACAAAAATTAATTCAAGATGGATTAAAGACTTAAATGTTAGACCTAAAACCATAAAAACCCTAGAAGAAAACCTAGGCATTACCATTCAGGACATAGGCATGGGCAAGGACTTCATGTCTAAAACACCAAAAGCAATGGCTACAAAAGCCAAAATTGACAAATGGGATCTAATTAAACTAAAGAGCTTCTGCACAGCAAAAGAAACTACCATCAGAGTGAACAGGCAACCTACAACATGGGAGAAAATTTTCGCAACCTACTCACCTGACAAAGGGCTAATATGCAGAATCTACAATGAACTCAAACAAATTTACAATAAAAAAACAAACAACCCCATCAAAAAGAGGGCGAAGGACATGAACAGACACTTCTCAAAAGAAGACATTTATGCAGCCAAAAAACACATGAAAAAATGCTCACCATCACTGGCCATCAGAGAAATGCAAATCAAAACCACAATGAGATACCATCTCACACCAGTTAGAATGGCAATCATTAGAAAGTCAGGAAATAACAGGTGCTGGAGAGGATGTGGAGAAATAGGAACACTTTGACACTGTTGCTGGGACTGTAAACTCGTTCAACCATTGTGGAAGTCAGTGTGGTGATTCCTCAGGGATCTAGAACTAGAAATACCATTTGACCCAGCCATCCCATTACTGGGTATATACCCAAAGGACTATAAATCATGCTGCTATAAAGACACATGCACACGTATGTTTATTGCGGCACTATTCACAATGGCAAAGACTTGGAACCAACCCAAATGTCCAACAATGATAGACTGGATTAAGAAAATGTGGCACATATACACCATGGAATACTATGCAGCCATAAAAAATGATGAGTCCATGTCCTTTGTAGGGACATGGATGAAATTGGAAACCATCATTCTCAGCAAACTACTGCAAGGACAAAAAACCAAACACAGCATGTTCTCACTCATAGGTGGGAATTGAACAATGAGAACACATGGACACAGGAAGGGGAACATCACACTCTGGGGACTGTTTGTGGGGTAGGGGGACGGGGGAGGGATAGCATTAGGAGATACAAGTAATGCAAAATGACGAGTTAATGGGTGCAGCACACCAGCATGGCACATGTATACATATGTAACTAACCTGCACATTGTGCACATGTACCCTGAAACTTAAAGTATAATAATAATAATAATAATAATAAATTCAACACTAATTAGGTTTTATAAAAAATGTCTACCTAAAATAATTTTAAAATTATTTTGGTCATTTGAAACCTTTACCTTATTCTAAGTTAAATTAAGTAATAAATATTCATTAACTGTCTGGAAAATTTTGAACTAAGAGGAAGATAAACTTATCTACCTTTGGCTTTACACATTTCACAAAAATATAAAATATATTTGAAGCTGTTAATAAGCATGAGAAATGTATTATAAGGAATCATGTTTTTAAAAATTATGAAATTATTTTAAACTACAGAATATATAACCTTCTGTACTTGCCTTTCAAATCTTTTATTGCCATTAAAATATAAAACCCACATTATATTTAACGAAGAATTATAAACTTTTGGAATTTTTGACAACTTCCCCAAATTACATTTTAAATTAAGTATTTTGGACCACAAACTAAATTTGGAAATTTCCAGAAAAGCCCCTGGAATATGTTCAAAGAATCTGTTTTTTTCTCCTTATAAAAGAAAGATGTTAAACTAATTAGATTTATTTCCCATGTTAAATTATAAGAGAAACATTGTCAAATAATAAGCAACACAAAGCCTTCTTTAAGTTATATTTGCATAAGAGCATCCCAAAATTATATGAAATTCCTAGAAATTAGATATGTCCTAGTATAATGTTAATAGTTACAATTTTGGTTATGATTTTAAAATTTTTAATACCACATAAATAACCAAATATACTTGTGAATTGCATCATTGTTACAATAAAGCCTCACCAGGTTTTTAACGATGGTTGTTTTAAGTCTTTTGTCATTCACAGACATTATTGTTTTACTTTGATTCTTTTCTGAAAGTATTTACAATTATCCACAATCCAATATTACTTCTTTTTCAAAGAGATTTGTGAAAAAGACTCTGAAAGTACTGTGGAGTGCAGATTTCTGATAATTTTAAGATATTGTCATCGGACTATGAAAGTATTTTGAGAACTCTAATGAAGAAACTGATGGATTTATAAAACTGCTATTCCAGCTTCAAGTACAGAAAAAATTAATTACATGGGACTGAATGAACTGACAGAATAATTACAAGTTTTTAATGATTTTTTCTATAATATTGCTAGTTCTTCAATGTTTGGTTTTCTAGTTTTAAGAAAATATTTTTTAAAAAATTTACTCTTAAACTATCTGCAGCTTAGAAAAATTTGGTAAGGTCTGCTTTCATAAACAAAATTGAAACAATTACTTTTTCTCTCTACTTGATCCCTCCAGAACTTGGAAATTATTCATGAATATTTTTATTTTATTGCAATATAGTTATTTGCATAAGTTCAATAAGAATCTGTTCTCCTGGCCGGGAGCAGTGGCTCATGCCTGTAATCCCAGCATTTTGGGAGGCCGAGGTGGGCACATTACATGAGGTCAGGAGTTTGAGACCAGCCTGGCCAACACGGTGAAACCCCATCTCTACTAAAAATACAAAAAATAACCGGGCATGGTGGCGTGCACTTGTGGTCCCAGCTACTCAGGAGGCTCAAGCAGGAGAATCGCTTGAATCTGGAAGGCGGAGGTTGCAGTGAGCTGAGATCACGCCGTTGTACTCCACCCTGGGCGACAGAGTGAGACTCCATTTCAAAAAAAAAAAAAAAGAACTTCATTCCAGATGCATCTCCCTATACCTGGAGGAAAGGAACACACTTATCCTCACAAATGCAGAGAGATGCCGAGAAGAATCTGAACAAGCAGGCCTTAGTAAGCGCCTCCCACTTTATTACCATTAGATCTTACCCCTTTGTCCGATCACAGTTTTGCACAGCTGCCCACTCCTTATCAAACATAACATGAAAAGAAACAGATATTCCTGTTTTCTTGAGGTCTTCTTTTCTGAAAGCTCCTATGCCATCTAAAATGTATATTAAATACATTTTATGAATTTCTCTTAATGAGGAGCCTTTGCCATGAACCTTGCCATGAGTAAGAGAAAGATATTACTTTTTCCCCCTGCCACATCTTTTGCCTGTTTTCTCATTGGATTTATTTTTTTTTAAAGTATTGAGTTTTCAGAGTTATTTATATATTCTACATACTGCTGCACTTGCTGGATATGTGGTTTGTAAACATTTCCTTCAGGTCTGTAGCTTGTTTGTTTCTTTGTTTGTTTGTTTATTTATTGAGACAGAGTCTTGGAGTCTTGCTCTGTCGCCCAGGCTGGAGTGCAGCGGCACAATCTCGGCTCACTGCAAAGTCCGCCTCCCGGATTGAAGTGATTCTCCTCCCTCAGCCTCCCAAGTAGCTGGGACTACAGTGCGTGCCACCACACTTGGTTAATTTTTTTGTATTTTTAGTGGTGATGGGGTTTCACCCTGTTAGCCAGGATGACCTCAAGCTCCTGACCTGGTGATCCGCCCGCCTCGGCCTCCCAAAGTACTTGGATTACAGGCCTGAGCCACCACGCCCGGCTGTAGCTTATTTGTTTTTTCGTTGTTGTTTGTTTGTTTTTGTCTTCTACAGTCTTGTGCAGAACAAAAGTCTTAAATTACAATAAAGTCTAGTTTATGTATTTATTTTTCTTTTATGGATTTTTTGTATGTGGAGTCTGAGAATTCTTTACCTAGTGTTAGATCCTGAAAATTTTTTCTATTTTTCCCTCTAAAATTCTTATTTACATTTTTGTTTGTCATTCATTTTGAGTCAATGCTTTGTAAAGTGCGAGGTTTAGATTGAGGTTTAGTTTTTTGCCTATGGATGTGTAATTGGTCCAGCACCATTTTGTGAAAAGTTTAGTCTTCAATTGAAAATCAGCTGGATGTATTTATGTCAATTTCTGTTTTCTCTATTCAGTTCCAATGAACTATGTGAAACTCTTAAGGATTAAAAAGAATCATGAAAAAGTAGAATATTTACTTGTAAAATCATTTTTGCTAATTATACAAAGGAAGAAAATTTCACGTGTTCATTATATTCTATTTCCTCTTTCTTTGGCATAGGCAGCCTCCACTGCTCATAACTGAGGCCATATCATGCATTATGTCCAATGAAACGTCGATGGATCTTACATCTCTCTTCCAGCTTTGGCTTCTAATACCTTTTGGCACTCCTCTGTGCTTTTTTCACTTTCCCCATTTACTATGTGAACAGAGAAGACTCCGTAACCATAAAGGAGAATGGGGCAACATGATTCTGAGGTCCTGAGTGGCTGTGCTGATTAGATCCCCTGCCCCATCTAACCTCCATTGGATGTGCAAAATACACTTTCTCGTGTTAAGATTTGGGGGTTGTTTGCATTTGCAATTGGTTTCCTCTGACTTTCCTGTTCCCTCATTCTTAATGACTTCAGATTTTTACCTCTCTCTAAAGCACTACAACAAACTCCAAGAAGTCATTGTTTTTTACCCAACCTCAAGCTTTCATAATTATTAGTGAAGAAGACAAACAAGGAGCCACAGCCAATGACATTGTCCCTCCCACAACCCAGCCATCAGCTGCAGCTTCGAGTACACTTTCTCAACGTGGTATACATTTCAGTTTCAGTGGCAGATAAACACCAACTATATATGTATTACGGGTTCACCTTTCCTATGAAAAAACGAGGAAGTCTCTCCCAGTTCAAACCTGTCTGCTTCAGGCATTCCCCAAAGCAAAGATGTGGTTATAAATCCCCTGTTAAGGATTTCCTCCCCAACTCCTTTCTTAAAATTTTCTCTTCTATAAAAAGAATGAGTTACAAATTATATCTGAGTCTCCCTTTTATCCTCAAGTAATTAAAATGTATTTTTTGTAGCCTAAATTTACATGATAAAGCAATAGGTAAATGTAATTATTCGTTTTCTTTGCAGTAAATAAAGAATAGATCAAATTTAAATATTCTGACTCCGGAACTACTCTTAAAAACAAGGACATGAACAGACACTTCTCAAAAGAAGACATTTATGCAGCCAAAAAACACATGAAAAAATGCTCGTCATCACTGGCCATCAGAGAAATGCAAATCAAAACCACAATGAGATACCATCTCACACCAGTTAGAATGGCAATCATTAAAAAGTCAGGAAACAACAGGTGCTGGAGAGGATGTGGAGAAATAGGAACACTTTTACACTGTTGCTGGGACTGTAAACTCGTTCAACCATTGTGGAAGTCAGTGTGGCGATTCCTCACGGATCTAGAACTAGAAATACCATTTGACCCAGCCATCCCATTACTGGGTATATACCCAAAGGACTATAAATCATGCTGCTATAAAGACACATGCACAGGTATGTTTATTGCGGCATTATTCACAATAGCAAAGACTTGGAACCAACCCAAATGTCCAACAATGATAGACTGGATTAAGAAAATGTGGCACATATACACCATGGAATACTATGCAGCCATAAAAAATGATGAGTTCACGTCCTTTGTAGGGACATGGATGAAATTGGAAATCATCATTCTCAGTAAACTATCGCAAGAACAAAAAACCAAACACCGCATATTCTCACTCATAGGTAGGAATTGAACAATGAGATCACATGGACACAGGAAGGGGAATATCACACTCTGGGGACTGTGGTGGGGTGGAGGGAGGACGGAGGGATAGCATTGGGAGATATACCTAATGCTAGATGATGATTTAGTGGGTGCAGCGCACCAGCATGTCACATGTATACATATGTAACTAACCTGCACAATGTGCACATGTACCCTAAAACCTAAAGTATAATAATAAAAAAAAAAAGTGGGTGAATCTAAATATATGTGACACATTATTTGATTCTCAGTACTTTGGAGACTTGGAAGATCTGACATTCTCTTGGTAAAGTCTAAATACACAGTGTTTGATATTTTAGACAAAAACACATGCCCAACAAAGCAAGTCTCTGTTTTTTATGTTGATTTTCAATTCAGTGAGTACAAAATTGTTAGAGATCTCTTAATAAATGTATACATACAGGTGAGTACATTTTAGGTTTTCTCCTAAACTTTAGGTAGGTAGAGGCACTACATAATTTATGTTTTCTTTTTAAATAGGTAACATTTATATTTGAAATGTATGCAAATGAAAATGTGTGTATTTTACAAAATACTTTAAGAGAGAAAAATCTATATTTTAATTAAAAAAACTCTAAAATATTTTTGGAGGCTATTGTTAATTTGTGTAAGCTTTCTTTGAAATATTTTATTAAATATTTTAAATAGATTGATAAATTTTATTTTAGATTTAATTATCATTTGCCATGTAATTATCAAATTGTATTGGAAATATTAGACAATATAGAAATATAGAGTCACACAAGAAAAAATAGAACACTTAATTAACACTTAATATGAGAAAAATTATACATTCCTTAGATACAGGCTGATATAATTTCAAGATACTAATTTTTGCTATTAAAGAAATTAGCTTCATATGTAAAAATCTATAACTACTAATCATCTTTTTGTTACAAATGTAATATTCATGCTCTACGAGCTGAATTTCGTATTTGCAGTCTGAAATTGTCTCCTATTTTCTAATTTGAAATAGTCTATTGTTTTTAATAATGACTCTCTCTTTAATGTCACCTCTGAAATAAATACTTGGTAATTGTAATCTTAAGAAATGCTATATTAGTTTTTTACTGTGAAGACATTTAGATTGCAACTTCTTTTTGCAAAAGTCGCTACTTCTAATTCCTAAAGAAGTTTGTTTATTCAGTATTTAAGAATAAAGAA